>NC_000017.11:21814103-21860937 GCF_000001405.40 Homo sapiens
ACTTCTGCCTCCCGGGTTCACGTCATTCTCCTGCCTCAGCCTCCCAAGTGGCTGGGACTACAGGTGCCCGCCACCACACTTGGCTAACTTTTTGTATTTTTAATAGCGATGGGGTTTCACTGTGTTAGCCAGGATGGTCTCCATCTCCTGACCTTGTGATCTGCCCACCTCGGGCTTTCAAAGTGCTGGGATTACAGGCGTGAGCCACTGTGCCTTGTCTCTTTATATGTATTTCAAAATGTTCTATTTCATTTCATGCCAGACTTTTGTTGATAAGAAAAAAATTGTATTATGATTAAAAAACAAAAAAGGCCGGGAGCGGTGGCTCATGCCTGTAATCCCAGGACTTTGGGAGGCCGAGGTGGGCGGATCACCTAAGGTTGGGAGTTCAAGACCAGCCTGACCAACATGGAGAAACCCCGTCTCTACTAAGAATACAAAATTAGCCAGGAGTGGTGGTACATGCCTGTAATACCAGCTACTCCAGAGGCTGAGGCAGGAGAATGGCTTGAACCCGGGAGGTGGAGGTTGAGGTGAGCCGAGATTGTGCCATTGCACTCCAGCTTGGGTGACAGAGCAAGACTCAGTCTCAAAAAAAAAAAAAAAAAAAAAAAATGACTGATCCCTGAATGCTCAGGGAGACTGATTTGAGTAATAATAAAACTCAGGTCTCCAGCACAGCCGCCTCCAGGTGAATTATTCTCTATGGCAATTCCCCTGTCTTGGTAAATGAGCTGTCTCTAGGCCGCAGGCAAGGTGAACCTGTTGGGCGGTTCCACTCTTCCTTGGGCCCCTCAAGTTCCTTGGACTTTGTAGGGAGGTTTGCATACCTGCCCACCTGGGAACATCCTTCCTCCTATTGTAACTGCCCAAGGGGTTCACGTTGCCCGCAGCCTAGACAGAGTCGATTTATCAAGACAGGGGAAAAGCAATAAAGAGTAATTCACAGGGCTGGGCATGGTGCCTCACACCTGTAATCTCGGCACTTTGGGAGGCCAAGGCGGGCAGATCACCTGAAGTCATGAGTTAGAGACTAGCCTGACCAACATGGAGAAACTCCGTCTCTACTAAAAAATTTAGCCGGGCATGGTGGCACATGCCTGTAATCCCAGCTACTGGGGAGGCTGAGGCAGGAGAATTGCTTGAACCTGGGAGGTGGAGGTTGCGGTGAGCTGAGATTGAGCCACTGCACTCCAGCCTGGGCAAGAAAAGTGAAACTCCATCTCAAAGAAGAAGAAAGAAAAACACACACACACACAGTAATACACACAGAGCTGGCTGTGCCAGAGACCAGAGTTTTATTATTACTCAAATCATTCTCCCCGAAAACTCAGGGATCAGAGTTTTTAAGGATAATTTGGTGGGTAGGGGGCCAGTGAATCGGGAGTGCTGACTGGTTGGCTGGGGGATGAAATCACAGAGAGTTGAAGCTGTTCTCTTCTGCTGAGTCAGTTCCTGGGTGTGGGGGCCACAGACCTGGTTGACAAGTAAAGATGGGGCCATCCGGTTTTTAGAAATGCAAAAACCTGAAGATCCATTTCGAAAGGCCAATCTTAGGTTCACAATAGTGAATGTTGCCTTCGAGAATGATTGCAGAAGTTGCAAATCTGATGACCTCCAGAATAATGGCTGGTAATATTTAGAATTCCAGCCCCTCTTATTCTAACTTGATGGCTGGTGGCCTTTCGTTCATTTTACAAGAACAGTTTAGCTTTTGGGAAGGGCTATTATATTTAGTTTAAACTACAAACTAAATTCCTTCCCGAGACTAGTTCGGCCTACATCCGGGAATGGATGAGGACAGTTTAGACGTTAGAAGCAAGATGGAGTTGGTTAGGTATGATGTCATTCACTGTCATAATTTCCTTAGTTATAATTTTGCAAAGGTGATTTCACTGTTCTCGCTCCAGGGATTGTGGAAAGGGAAGGTCAAGTGTCAGAGAAGAGTCTTTCAGGCTAGAGTGAGGCCTCTGTTCTTGGAGTGGGTGGTTGGAGACCAGGACAGAGGGGTCCCCCCGTTTAGACATGGTCTTGTAGTGCTGGCCTCTGGCTACCCTAAGCACGAAAAGCCTCGCCCCCACTTATCCTCACTGGAGGCTCCTCTTCCTTCAATGCTGGGGCGCCTGGCTGGGCGCAGTGGCTCACGCCTGTAATCTCAGCACTTTGGGAGGCCGAGGTGGATGGTTCATGAGGTCAGGAGTTCGAGCCCAGCCTGGCCAACATGGCAAAACCCCATCTCTACTAAAAATACAAAAATTAGCCGGGTGTGGTGGCAGGCACCTGTAATTCCAGCTACTCTGGAGGCTGAGGCAGAAGAGTCACCTGGACCCGGGAGGCAGAGGTTACAGTGAGCTGGGACTCCGCCATTTTACTCCAGCCTGGGCGACAGAGTGAGACTCTATCTCAAAAAAAAAAAAAAAAATAGACTGGGGACTCTGAGGAAGGACATAGTTGAGGACACAAAAGCAACTCTCTCTCTTTTTTTTTTTTTTTTGAGACTGAGTTTCACTCTTGTCACCCAGGCTGGAGTGCAATGGCATGATCTTGGCTCACTGCAACCTCCGCCTCAAGGGTTCAAGTGATTCTCCTGCCTCGCCCTCCTGAGTAGCTGGGATTACAGGCACCCACCACCACACCTGGCTAGTGTTTGTATTTTTTAGAGATGTAGAGATGGGATTTCACCAGATTGGCCGGGCTGGTCCCGAACCCCTGACCTCGGGTGATCCACCTGCCTCAGTCTCCCAAAGTGTTGAATTACAGGCATGAGCCACCACGCCTGGCCAAGCAACTCTCATTTTCTGCATGTCCTTGAATTTCAGGCGTGAATACTGCTTCTCCAAAGTCCCCTGAACACAGCGACACAAGTGTAGTCACATGACTTAGGCCTCTAATTCTGCCGTAACTCCTTTTCTTTTAAACATTGATTTTTTTTTTCTTTTATTTTTGAGACAGGTTCTCGCCTGTCACCCAGGCTGGAGTGCAGTGGCCCGGCCCAATCTTGGCTCACTCTGCAACCTCCACCCCCACAGCCTCAAGGGATCCTCCCACCTCAGCCTCCTGAGTCCCAAATAACTGGGACCACAGGCATCTGCCACTTTATTTTTTTTTTGTATTTGGCTTTTTTTTTTTTTTTTTTTTGTATTTTTAGTACAGACAGAGTCTTGCTATGTTGCCCAGGCTGGTCTAGAACTCCTCAGCTCAAGATTCCACCCACCTCGACCTCTCAAAGTGCTGGGATTACAGGCCTGAACCACTGTGCCCGGCCTGCAGCCTGGATTTTTAATGAGATCTCAGGTCATTTGTGTGCACACTGAACTTTGATAAACTCTTATTTATTTATTTATTGAGAGGGAGTCACACTCTGTCACCCAGGCTGGAGTACAGTGGCGAGATCTCCAGCTCACTGTAACCTCTGCCTCCCAGGTTCAAGCGATTCTCCTCCCTCAGCCTCCAAGTAGCTCCAAGATTACAGGCGCACACCACGCCCGGCTAATTTTTGTATTTTTTTTTAGTAGAGACGGCGTTTCACCATGTTGGCCAGGCTGGTCTGAAACTCATGACCTCAAGTTATCTGACCACCTTGGCCTCCCAGAGTGCTGGGATTACAGGTGTGAGCCATTGTGCCCAGCCCAAGAAGCTCTGATTTAAAATGTAGTACTCAATAAATTGATGAAGAAGGTAGTTGAAACATCTCTGTGACAGTTTAGAGTTTAAAATATTTCCATATTTGTTATTTCATTTTATCTTTTTTTGTTTTGTTTTATTTTTTTGAAACAATCTTGCTCTTTGCCCAGGCTGGAGTGCAGTGATGTGATCTCGGCTCACTGCACCTCGGCCTCCCAAAGTGCTGGGAGCATGAGCCACAGTGCCTGGCCGGGAGTGCTGTCTTTTTATTAACTCCTGTATGTCCTTAGTTACCAGCATAGCCTTTTGTTATAGCAGAGTAGCCCGCCTTACAGATAGAAAGGTCTTCCAGTGTTCCACAGAGTATAATGTTGTCCAGGGGCTTTGCCCGAACAATTCTGAAACATGGACATTCAAGTTGCAATGTATGTGAATGAGTCATAGTTTTCTTTCCAATGCACAGGGCTTCAGTGTTCTACTTGGTCACTTGGTCTAAAGATCTCTGAGGCATGTTCTGTCTGCAACGTACTTGCCCAGCATCTCCCGGGTGGCTCCACTTCTAAAATGGATAACACTTTCTTTACTGGCCAGGTTTTTATTTAAAAAAAAAAAATCAAAAAAGTAGACAAGCCACTAGTGAATCTAATCAATTCAAAAGGAAGAAAACACAAATATGTAAAATAAGACATCTTTGGGGGGGGAAGATCTGAAAAGGGGGAAAAATTTAAAAGTCACAAGCTGATTTTCCCAATTTTAAGCAAATACATGTGAGAATCTAGATAAAATGGATAACTCAGAAAATACAACCTATCAAAATTGACCTGAGCGACATTAAAAAATAGAGAATAGGAAAAAAGTAGTAGAGCACTGCTACTGAATGCACCAAGCCAGGCTGGTGGATTCTACCAAACTTTAAAGATCAGTCAATCCCAATATTACTTAAATAAGTTCAGAGCACTAGAAACAAATAAAAACAAAAAGCTTCCAAATCGATTCTTATGAAATAAGTATAATGTATTTTCCAAAACCTGATATTGCATCAAGAACTTTAGATTTATGAATATTGAGATATATACCTTAAATAAAATATTGGCAAGCAATCCAAATGAACATTATAAAAAAAAGTCCATCATAATTCAGAGAGTTTTATTCCAAGAATACACATTTTGTTCCATTTTTAATGTAATTCATCACATTAATACAGCTAATGAGAAGAATTACATAATTATCTTCATAAATGCACAGAAGGACTTTGACAAAATTAGTACTAATTCATGTTGAAAAACACAACAAAAAGAAATTTATGGATTTCCTCTACACATAAAATATACACTTTAACTCAAAAGCTTGCATTTTACTGAAGGGAAACATTAAGGCTTTGTCACCAAAATCAGGAACAAGACAAGGATGCCTACTATCTCATTACATTGAACATCGGGATGGAGGTGTTAGCTAATGCAGTTAGAGAAGAGAAAGCAATTCGAGACACTGGAATTGAAAAGTAAATAAAAATAATCTTTATTTTCAGATGC
The DNA here is from genome assembly GCF_000001405.40 of Homo sapiens. NCBI lineage: Eukaryota > Metazoa > Chordata > Mammalia > Primates > Hominidae > Homo > Homo sapiens. The sequence goes on from NC_000017.11 coordinate 21,819,260, forward strand.
AGTTGTTATTTATCTGAAAAACCCCAAAGTATCAATGGAGAAATGACTACAAATAATGAAAGAATTTAGTAAAATAGTAGGAAATAAAATTAATATATTAAAAAATCAATAGCTTTTGTGTACAGAGACAAAAAACAGAGAGAAGCTAAAATGGAAGGGACAATCCAATATATGGCAGCAAAATGATAATAAAATATTTAAGTGTACATTTTGCACAAGTGTCCAAGATTTATATGAGGAAAACTCACAAAACACTACGGAAGAAAACAAAATTGAACAAATGTAAAGGAAATCATGTCCTTGGATAGAAAAACTTAACATCACTAGAATGTTGTTTAGTCTTCCAAGGTTAACTTATACATTTAACAAAATCCCAATAACAATGTCCTAAATATCTTCTGGACAGACAGGCCAGTTAGAAAGTTCACTTGAAAGGATAAATGAGAGAGAATAGTTACAAAACGTATGGGGAATAGAAAAGCCAAAAGTGTTGGGTGTGGGTAGGATTAGCTCTACCAGATATTAAAACTTACTTGTAAAAATCTTTATAATTAAAGTAGGATGGTATTGATGCATGAATAAAAAGACAATGTAACAGAGTTGAAAATCAGAAATAGACCTCATTATATATACAAATTTAGTATGCTATGGAAGCCGCACTCAAAATCAGTGAGGATATAGGATGGAATTATTAATAAGAGGATTAGGATTATCGTAGAGCCATATGGAAAAAATTAAATGAGATTGATATCTTATACCACTCAACAGGATAAATTCCAAGTGGATCAGATATTTATAGACAATGTAACTATACAAGTAATAAAATAAGACAACATGGATGAATACCTGTATAATCTTTGAGCAGAAAAAACTTTCTAACTATGATTTAACACCCAGAAACATGTTATAAGGGAAACAGTACTGCTAAAAAAATAACTTGCATGGAAAAGGAAATCATAGATACAATAAAAAGACAAAATGACAAGCTGGATTTACATGGCCAGGTAATATATACACCTCGACTGAGTGATTAAATAAGTTATTTACTGATGAGGAAATTGGTAGCTTTAACAAGGGCCATTTTGGGAGCATGTGCGAGGACAAATCCTAATTGGAATGGACTGAGGATGAGTGGGAAATGAGGAAATAGAGGTTGTTGGTGTCCACAATACCTCTAAGAAGTTAGGTAGAGAGGGAGAAGGTAGGGTAGAGTTGAAGTGGGGGAGGAGGGGCAGGACTAATAGAGTGGAACTGACTTGAGGCTGGTCGCACAGGTGAGGGCTTACCTGTGTGATTTGCATCAAAGGTGATTTTCTCCTACCTTTGTGAAGTTCTGAGAAATTATAAAAATCACCCAAGTTACTACTGAAAAAGAGATCAAGATCAGCAGCATTTTTTGAAGCATCGTGTTTGAGGACATGACAAATGTCCTAGGAGAGATGACACAAGAGAGGAGTCATGAGGAGTGAATCTCTCTGTACTCACTCATTATTTTATTTCTAACTTGTAATTAGCCTCCAAAATTGTGTTCTTCTTTTGTGAGTCACTCTCTTCTTTCCCTCTGTTCACTAACAACTCATACCCTCAATCCCTTTGTCTACCTATTGGGTGCTTCTTGTCCAAGTTTCACTTAGGATTGTTGCTTCCTCCTTCCAGGACCCTGAAGTGAAGTCAAAGTTACCTCATAGGTTCTCTTAATGCCCTCTGTATTTTCTTAGTTACAACACATAACAATTACAATGACAAGCAGAAAAATTAATTCATCAGCGTGTCTTTTGGGGGAAGACTAGGGATAGTGGATGGAACCACAGAAATATGCTCGTATTACAAAACATAATCTGTAAAATACCTTTAAAGAAAGCCAGTCCTGTTAACTGGACAGGGAGGTGGGATGGGTAGCTTTTGTTTTGCTGAATGCCAACTCTGAAATTTAGAAACAGAAACTCCTTCAGGAATGAATTACTCTGCGTAATAAACAAGAGATGATCCAATAAGGCTGGGCACTGCGTGAGGAACGGGAAAAAGGAGATAGAAAGGGACGGTGAGGGAGAGAGACGGGGATAGAGAGAGAGAGAAGCTCGTCCACACCATGCCCCTGTTAGTACCATCATGGAGATCAGAAATAAAATTATATGCTTTAAATAGCTTATTTTGGGAAACAAAATGTAAAGCCTTGCCTCTTGGTCCCTTACCAAATCCTCAGTGAAGTCTCAATTGTGTGAAAGCTTTTGTGTGAGTGGATTCATTTTGTGGAATCCAAAAAGGTTCTATGTTTTGAATCTGGTATGTGCAGAGCAAAATTAGATACTTCACATGCAAAATGGAAGGGAGAGAACAAAGGATCACTTTAGAGCTGGTTAACCTTTGGGAAGTCCAAGATGAAATTACTTTAAACAAGATGTAGTACACAGTTGCAGCTCATATTGAATCACCACATTCTGATTGATCTACGACTCCCCAGTTACTGAAGCGTGGTGTGGGAGAACCTGTAGAGGTGTTGAGTGTTGAGACCGAATGAATGCAGGAGAGAAGAGAAGGGCCAGCTCTAATGTGTGTCACACACTATATTGCAATAGATTGTTTACTTTTTAATTTCCCAAAGACTGTCAATTACTGAAGAATTGGAATAATGTCTGTCACAGCATTATAGGCCCAGGGCCTAGCATGGTGCCTGACAAGCACAATATTTGTTGAATAAATAATTTCAAAACAGAATCCTGATTTTTAGAATGACTTCAACTTCTATCCACTGAAATATCATATTTTCTCAAAAAGCACATTCAATAGGGCAAAAAAAAAAAAAAAAATCAGTCAAGGGGCTACTCTGACCCCTCCTGCCCCCGAGACTGACCCAGGTTTTCTGACTTCAAAGTGAATTTCATAAAGTATGAGTTATAATGTCTCATCTGATTCATTTTTCCTTGCCCAGAAAGTAGTGTGTATGGATACGTTTCAGCAGCATTTGAAAAAAAAAGTATGGTTGCCATTGCACTTCTGTAAATCTTAGATTCTCACCTCCTTGTCATAGATCTTTAAACTTATCCTGTAAAGTACTGGGTACTTACCCAATAGCGTCAGTACCATGGAATGCACTGAAGATAAAGAGAAGCAGCAAAACGAATGAATAAACATGTATGTTGGATAAGAATACAGTAGTAGAAATACCAAATTCTTGTTGATCTCTGAAGAAACCTTGTTCTTCTAAGCTCCTGAGTCTTTGCCCAAGCTGTTCTGCCTGAAATTCTTATTACCTCCTCCCTCACTGCACCAACACTGCTCAATCTCCACCATGCTTCCTGGTAAACTTGGAAAATTCCTATTCATTGTTTGGGTTTGAGCTTTAATGCCAACTGTTCTTTCCTCAATCATTTTCATTGATAATTTATTCCTTTGTGCTCTTATAGTCTCGTATGCATACCTTTGTAATAATATGTGCTACACTGTTGTATCTCCTTATGTGTCTGTGCCTTCATTAGATTGATGGATATTCTAGAGGAGAGTCCCTCGAAAACTCCCTCATTCGAGAGGAGAATCACCTCAGGCTGAATCCACCTACCTTGGATTGCTGATATGTCACAAGATTCTGGTCCTGACAACCAAGCAGTTCTGTGGCTCCTATCCCTGGTCTGACATTTCCGCTGATGCACTACCAACTTTGGTTAGAATTGGCTCGTTTGAGAGTGGCCAGAGAGCTTCTTTGCCAGAAAGAATTTTATTGATGGCAGAGTTTTGGGATTTATTTACCGCATCCTCTATATCATACTTATTTTTGCATCTATTTTCTACTTGCAACCCTTAATCAAGATCACATTTGTCTAAGCCGTAAGTAACTGCAAATCAGAATTCTTCTTAGAACCCTATGGCCAGATAATCTCATTTATTCTGAAATCAATGTCTCACCTAGATTCTACTCCTTAGCTTGGGCTCTGCATATCTCAGTGTCTTCAAAATGTTTCCACTTGGAAATCCTCACTGGTAGAGGTGAGCTGAACCCAGCCTGTGCTAGCTTATGAAAGCCTATTCATGCACATTTCTTTCCAACTGCTTATTTGGTGACATCATCTTGGTAGCTTGAAATAGGCCATCACGGGTACATTTGCATCATGGAAATCATCAAAGGCTGTAAACAGGATTTTTTGTTTTTGTTTTCTGGGAGAGCAGGTTTGTCTGCATACCCCTGCTCATAGGAATCTCAAAGTCAGCTTGTTCAATTGGAATGTTTTTTCTTCTTCCAAATGTCTTCTGCTTCTTCTTCTCCCTGTCTGTGAATGGTATCCCAAATGAGAAACTTGGCCACTGTCTTAGTCACTTGTCTCCTCTCCTTATGCTTCTATATGGTCATCCTCAGACAGGATTGAATCAATGTACAGAGCCCGTTAGTTGTCTCTGTCATCAGTTGTACATATACAACATTTAAAAACAGTTTCTGGCACTTAGTTTAAGCACTAAGTAATTAGCAACTATTACCGTCACCACCCCAACTACTACTATTTATGCATGGGAGTAAATTTTGAGATTGGCTTTTTTCTCCCACTCAGCGTAATGTCCATGATGTCCATCCAAGTTTTGGCATGCGTCAGCAGTTCATGTCGACATATTGCCTCACTCACAATTAGGCAATATTGTTTGTTATCTTGGTTTCTTTAACTAATATTGTTTCTAAAACCTACTCCTCACTTCTTGATTTGTTTCTTATCTTGTAAAGTCTTTGGCAGCTCTTTCAGAGGGGACCAATATTAGACTGAGTACATATTTTTTCTTCCTAAATAGATGATACATTTACTTGCTATAGAATTAGGTGAAAACTATTTTTCTTCTTAGCCTTGAGGATACTGTTTCATTCTCTTCATGCATCCAATGTCATTGATGAAATGTCTGATGTCAAAGTTAGTATAATTGTGGATCTTTGTAGCATTTTTCTCTCCATCCTTGGTATTATGAAATTTTATGCAGATCTTTTTATCTTCATCATGCTTGGCAACTTTTAATGGCCCATTAGACCTGAGATCTAATATCTGTTAACTTTTCTTTCATAATTTTGATCACACTTTCCTGTTATTCTATATTCTGCAGGAATTCTTGAGTTAACATTTTATCTCTCCAGTTTGTTTTCGTTTTGATCTTTAGTGTGTCCCTCATGTTTTTCTTTATTTCACATATCACATTTTAAATTTAACAAATATCTAGTTAACTCTAAGTATGGCTGCAATATCCTCTCGCATCACTCTGGTAATTAAACACACTTATTCTAAATTCTTGTATCAACTGTCCTTTTAACTTTGTTTTCTTGGCATGCCAGTTTCTTCTGATTATTGTGCTTTGTGCCTCTCTTTCAGGTATTAGTCTCTTTCAAATGATTGGTAATTTTTGGTTATGTGTTCACCTTTGCATTTGAAATTTTCTGCTAGCCTCCCTGTAAATGTTGGGTTTATTTATTGCAATTTTCTTCTGGGAGAGGGGTTAGAAATATTTCCTGGTGCTGAGTGCCAATATCCATTCTTCTGAGAGTGCGTGCTCTCTTCTTCCCTCTTGGGGATTACGCACAGCACTGCTCTGTCTTCCCAACCCTTGCACACATTCTCAGTGCTTCCATATGATATGTGGAGAGGTCATTCCTCATGGCTCTCTCTGTCAAACTCTGTGTCCACCTTTACTGATTTCAGTAAGAGTCATAGGAAAAGACAGAAATACTATTATTTTACATATTTCTCATCAGGATATCCAACAAGTTCTCTTTGATATCAAACATAAAACCTGGGACTATTTAATTATGCCATTTTCCTAGATCCAAAAATAATCATATATCTCTACTTAATTGAAAAAAACAATGTTCCTCTAGTAGGAGACCCAATATATGCTTTGAGCATCTTGAGTGCCAATTGCCTTGCATGTGTGCTGTGTTTAATCGTGTGAGGTTGTTTTTCTTCCCCATGTTCACTAATGGGGCATCTGAGGCTCAGAGAGCTTAATTGTCCTATGAGTAAAAGCTGTGTATACACGGAGACACATATACTGGGGGAAGAAGCCAGGTCTGCCTCCCCTCAATGGCCATGCCATCTATTCTGCCTCTAGGCCTCTAAACTAACTGCAGGGACTTTCTTCTTTCATAAGGTGTTTTCATTAATATTTTTTATCATTGTCATTACGTTATCTGTGCATATTTTCTTTTATGTTCTTTTGGGTTTTTTTTGAGACGGAGTCTCGCTCTGTCGCCCAGGCTGGAGTGCAGTGGCACGATCTTGGCTCACTGCAAGCTCTGCTTCCTGGGTTCATGCCATTCTCCTGCCTCAGCCTCCCGAGTAGCTGGGACTACAGGCTCCCGCCACTGCGCCCGGCTAAATTTTTGTGTTTTTAGTAGAGATGGGGTTTCATCGTGTTAACCAGGATGGTCTCCATCTCCTGACCTCGTGATCCGCCCGCCTTGGCCTACCAAAGTGCTGGGACTACAGGCGTGAGCCACCGCGCCCGGCCCTCTTTTATGTTCTGTAGTAAATAAAGATGACCGATTCCTGAACATTGAGAAGAGGCTAAATATGTAAATATTTAGGAAGAGTGAAAAAAAAATGTGCCCCAGCCTCTTCTCAATGTCATTATAAACTATCTTGGCAGAGGTTGATATCCAAGGAATAATTTCTCTCCCAAATTATGCCAATCAGAATTTCACTCGACCATAATTCTTTTAACCAGTTTCAGAGGAATAATAAATTACAAAATTGTTCAAGGTACTTGTAGTTCAAGTACATTTTGACAGGTGTAAAACTGTAGACACACTGATACAAACATATTCTAATTGACTTAAAAGTATATGGGACCTATTTCAAAATCTAGATTTTAAAATGTCGTGTCAACATACCCATGTTCTCCTTGTGAAATAATTGCTTTTTATTCTCTGGATAGAATAATTTAATCTTTAAACCTTCAATTCAGTTAAAAACAAAATATTACATAAGGATATGCTTATAAAAATATTTCACAACTAGCTTTTCAATTCAGAAATATATGTGAAAAATCATCAAGCGTCTAATGGATTTCAAGGAGAAATGGGTTAGTAATTTATTCCATATGTCTCAATTTTTCCTAGACACAAGGCTTCCTTTAAAATAATTGTAGGCGTTTAAGAAACCATGTAAACTAAAAAGAAGAAATTGTGACACTGCCACTTAGGTTTTTTAAATCTTTGGACATGAATCAATATATTTTTAAATTTTATCTTAATTAGACATGGTGAGTTCACCATCTTCCTGTCAGTATAGCATCCAAGCTGATTATCATAGATTACAAGTTCAACTATCAACTGTGTTCTGAGAGTCTAAAAAAATTAATGAATTATTTGTTTGGGTATTCTTAAAGCAGGAGTGAGGACACAGCGAAAGTGAGACAAGCAAGAGAGAACAAACTAAAACAGGAAAGATAGAAAAGCCAATACCACACGTGTTAAGAGGCAAGTTCCTGTGTTAGATATCTGGGCTTAATTCTATGGGAAGCTATGTGGAGCATGCCTCAGAATTACATCACTGAATCCAGGGAGATTCTTCTTAGTTACCCTCACCTTTTCTTCCCACTTCATCCCCAGTATCAAGCTCCCGTGCTGCTAGACAAAGTCCTCAGCTAGAAACAGGTGCAAATTCTGGAGATGAGACCTTGTAGAGTGTTAAGAATGGTTTTCTTCCCAGCAGCTACAGGTAAGGAATAGGGGCTGGGCTATTTATACATCTGCTACAAATCACTAAAGCCCTTATGCTCCTTTTGGTGATCGAGAATGTATTTAAAAATATTAGATGATGAAGAAGGGCTGCAGAAAGGAGGAAACAGAAACAAACAGCACACTTCTTGGTTTATTTTTATTCATTTCATCAGTTTCAAGGAAAATGTGTTGGGAGTTCCTGGCATAGAGAATGTTACAAAGACATGTTTTCAATACTGGTGCTATCCCCAGGGCAGAGAAGACCCAGAGAATGCCCAAGTGGCTGCTGGAACAAAGTCAGACACCGTGCCACCTGTCCACACTCGTTGGCTCTGCCACCTTGCTGAAGATCGGTTTAAAGGACTGGCTTCTCTCCCCCCAAAATTAAAAGAGCACAAACTGAGAAACTGAATGTAGGAGACAGCAGTGGATTATGCTGTTCTCGGGGGTCACCTCAGGTTTGGAAGCATTCTTTCAAATTAACCCATCTCAGGCCATCTGCAGAGGAGAAAGGTGGTACCTAACTTTTTTTCTTGTCAGCACTTGGTAGGGGTGTTTATTGACCAAATATGTTCCCACAACCTAGTTTTTTGTAACTAAATATAGTAGATTTTTAAATTTTATCATCAAATTCTATGGACAATTTTTGATTAAAATAGACTCCACATCTATGTCATGTTTTCTTCTTATTATTAATTACATTGCTGTATCAAAGAACAAGACTTCAGAATCAAGAATATCTTGTCTCTTGGCATTGAATTTATACAAGGTGCTCTTTCTTTAATGGTGTCTCAAAGGACATATTTTTACTCATTAAAAAGGAAGATCGGAATCTAGTTGTATGCACTGCTCCAACATACTAATAATTAAAATTAGGAGGTAAATGTGGTCAAAGCTAGAGAAAGACTTGAGATGCCATTTATAGTGATTGCTGTATAGCACTCTACAAACAGAAATTGTTAAATAATAGTTTAAAGAAATATTTTGTAGCATTTCAAATATTTGAGTGCCTGAAGTTTCTCCTCTTATATAGTTCAGATTATCAATTTGAAGACTTACTCCACTAGTTAATATGTTTTTAGTCGCGTTTGAGTATTATATAAAAGGAATTTTCAGTTAAATGTGTTCCGCTTACATAAAACATTACAAATTAGTGAGGATTTAATTACATTTTCATGTTCCTGTAATGTCTTTAGAATATTTTCATATTATTAACTATCAATATATGTATGCTTTGTCAAAGAAAAATCAAACATATATATCATTGAAATTGAAAAATTTTAAAAGTACTTATTAATTCTATTGAAAAACCAAATCTGTAGGAACAATTACAATATAATATTGTGAACATGTAAATATACATTCGATGTCTATTTTATATATAAGCATATATGATTAAAAATACAGTTAAGAATTTTTAAACCTAGTATTATAAAGTAAAAATTAGTTAACTTCTGATGATTATTTGTTAATTAAGATATAATTATTTTGATTTGGGTGATTTTAAATAAACAAAAATATTAAATTACATGACAAAAATTCCTTATAAAATGTTTATGATTTTTACATTGGTTTTATCACTTTATCCACTATTTTATTTTAAGATGACCTGCCTTTTTTAAAACACTGTATTCATCTTAATTAATTTAAATTCCATTTGTCAAAAAATTAACAAATGATTTGCTGTATTATACAGTGCGGTTATAAACTGAGTCAGTATCTCAAGATTTGATCCCCATTATCGTCATCTGTGGCTCTATTTGTTTTATAAATGTATTGTCTTTTTCCATGCCTGTCACATCGCTATTGCTCACTCATTTTTCTCTTTGTCCCTTATAGGGAGCATTGCCTATCTCTAGATTAAGCAAAAGTTGCATCTTAAAAAAGCACAATAACCTGCTCAATCTTTCTCACACAAACAAATGTTTGTCAAGAAATTAAAGTGTAGATGATGATACAAAGAGCTTGATTAAATTAGATGCCACAGTACCCTTGTGATTCAGAATATGAATGTTATTTAATTTCTTTGAAACCAATAATTGCTGATTGACATTAATTAATGCCAATATTTCAGAAGTTGTCCTAGTTAGTGAAATATATACAACATGCAAAAGATTCAGAACTCTGAAAGGCAAGATTATTCTATAATTAAGAATTAAGAATTAATTCACATTAATTATTGGGGAGAAATAATTATTAAGAATTAATTACTGAGACAATGTTTTTATTTTTTATTTAGAAAATTATTTTGTGCATGAGCATTACTGCAAGTTTTGCAAGAAACATCAATTTAAAGAAATAATTATGTGCAAAAGATGAATTTAATAACATCTTGATATTTTCCACGATTAGAGTTTTATTTGGTAAATCTTCAAATGCACATCAACTAAAGATAATAAATGAATCTTGGAAATCCTGTAGGTAAGGGTAAACAGTAGGATGCATCCAATTGCATTTACACGCACATACAATTACATTTACACCCATACATGCACACACACTCACTGATACACGTGTGTATATATATATACATGAATTTACTAATTGATTTTAACTAATATTTATAAGAGCCAGTTGGATTGAGATATATTGTTGAACCTGAAAAATATTTATTATATACGTGTTTAAAATACACAAAGAAATAAATAGTAATTGCACTAGGCATTTGAAACTGTACTAAAATATAAGCTGTGAACATTTTGTGATCGTTACAAATTCTTACACTGAATAAATATTTTTATTTTTATAATATTATCTTTGATACATGTGTACATTTTTTACAATGTGTTATTTTATTTTTGTCATAGAGTCATGTCATGCATAATAACATTTCAAAGACGGATTACATATACAAAAGTGGTCCCATGAGATTTTAATACATATTTTTACATACTTTTCTATGTTTAAGTATGTTTAGATACATAAACTCTTACCACTGTGTTCTTATTGCCTGTGGTATTCAGTACAGTAATGTAGTACACAGGTTTGTAGCCTAGGAGAGAGAGGATCTACCATATAACCTAGATGTGGTAGGCTGTACAATCTAGGTGTTTGTAATATTCTCTGTGATGTTTACAAAACGATGAAATTGCCTATGGATGCACCTGTTAGAACGTATCCCTATCATTCAGTAATGTGTGACTGTACTAAAATGCTCAATCTAATTTTCAGTGCCCTCCATAAAATTGTTGTACTGTGAAATACAAATCTCTCACCCATGGCCTGAATATGTTTCAAACCTAGCAGATCATGGGAAGGAGAATGTGCTGGCATCGCTGGGATGATTTTCTCACACTACATGAATAATATCTCCAGACTTCGCGAATATGAGCCACTTGCATAAAGTAGGCATCTCTTTGCTGGGAAATTTATCAAATGGGAGTGTGAAGTGTTTTTAAAAGATACTTGTTTGTTTGTAGCTGGTAGGCCTACAGTGGCTCATGGCAATGGTTGAGGTTGCTAAGATTTGGTGGAGGGAGGCAAAATGAAATGGCCACTTATATGGTATATGGATCACTTGTTTCTGTTGAGTTACAGACTCAGCTGGCTATTTCTCCCAATGTTAGTTATTTGGAGAAAAAAACATGATGGTAATTTTGGGGTAACAAATACAATATTTGATGAAAGCAAATTTATTGAGGGTTACACAAACTACAGGATACTTTAGGCTGCAAAGTCAACACGAGACTTCTGGCCCAAATTGTGCAGAGTTTGGGTCCAGCTGCAAAGTTCAAAGGAAGAGGCCATATAAGACGATTCTCACTTTTGACACCAACTGCCGTTCAGGGGTTTCCCCAGAACACCCTCAGTTTCAAGTATTTACTAGAAAGACTCACAGAACTCATTGAATGCCATTGTACTCATGGTTTATAATAGAGAAAGGGTAGAAATTAGGACGAATTGAAGAGACATATCATATAAGGTGGAATCTAGGAGATTTTGAATGTTAAGTTTCCATTGTCTTCAGGACATATTACCTGTCATTGTTGTACAGCAATAAACATGGAGTACTACCAACCTGGGGAGCTCACCTGATGCTAAAAAGACACGATTTAGAAAATGAAAAGACAAAGGAAAGGATGAGATAAGATGACCTTCCACATTAAGGCACTGGAAAAAATAGCAAACTAAACCTAAAGCAAGCAGAAGGAAGAAAATAAAAATTAGATAAATTAATAATTTATAATATTAATCATATTTGTTAGTACTGACTAATTGATATTAATTCTTGACTAACTTTTTTAAAAAGAGAAATATTCACTTCCCAATTTATTCTGTTGGGCCAGTGTTACCTTGATACAAAAGTTAGTGCAAATAGCATAGAAAAATAAAACTACTGTAAGTATAAACGCAGAATTCCTTAAAAAATACTAACAAATCAAATCTAGCAACATATAAAAGAATTATACACTATGACAAAGTGAAATTTATACTAGTAATCCCAGGTTGGTTTAACAGCCCAAAATCCATTAAGGTAATACATCTTACCCATAGAATAAGAAACGAGAATTGCATGATCATCTCGATAGATTCAGAAAAGACATTTAACAAAATCCAAATGCTTTAATGATTACAAATAAAAATAAAAACTCAATGAACCAGGAATAGAGAACTTTCTACACCCGATACATGGCACCCGTGAAAAGCTAACAGCAAACATTCAACTTAGTGGTGAAAGAAAGGATACTTTCCCGCTATGGTCAGAGATAAGAATAAGATATATACTTTGACCTCTTCTAGTCAACACTATACTAAAGATTTTATGCAGGGCAAATCGGCAAGTAAAGAAATAAGAGTCACCCATATTGAACAGGAAGAAATAAAACTTTTTTTGCAAATAACATTCTTGTATATAGAAAATTTTAAGGAATCCACTGAACGATAGAACTAGTAAATTATTTCAGCAATATTACAGCATAGAAGATATACAAAAATCAATTGCACACATCTACAATGAAAACCCCAAAATGAAGTTAAGAAAACACTTCAATGTACAATAGCATCAAAAAAAGAAATAATAATTAATTTGGAAAATGTGATACAAGATTTTACTCTGAAAATTAAAAATTATTGTTTAAAGAAGATCTAGATAATTAGCAAACATCTTACAGCCATGAATTGGAAGATTTAACATTGTACTACTTTACAATTAGAACTACAGATTTGACGAAATCCCTGCAAGTATCCCAACAGACTTCTGTCTAGAAACTGACAAGCTGATTCTGAAATACACATGGAATTGTAAGGGACTCAAAATAGCCAAAATAGTCTTGAAAAAAAGAAAACGTATTAGGATAATTCACACCTCCGTGCTCCAAACCTTACGGCAAAGCATCAGTAATCAAGACAACATAATACTGATGAAGGAAAAATATATAGACTGATGGAAGAGAGTTGAGAGTCCATATATAAAACTGTGTATCTATAGTCAATGGATTCTTACAGTGGTGCCATGTGCAATTCAATGAGGAAGAGACAGTCTTTGAACACACTGGGTCAACAACGTATACGTGGATCACCACTTGCAAAATAATAAATTCGAACCCTTACCCCAAAGCATACAAAAATATTAACTCAAATGAACTAAAGACATACATGCAGAGCTAGAATAAAGCATATGGGAAAATCTTCAGGATTTTTGATCTAGCAAAGAAATAGCTGTAACACCAAAAACATGAGCAAAAAAATAAAAATTAGATATTTAAAATTTCTTAAAAATTAAAGACATTGGTGTTTCAAAGGACAACCAAGAAAGTCAAAAGGCAGCTCAAAAATTGTGAGAAGATATTTGAAAAACACATATCTATATGTCTGTATATATATGTATCTTGAATATAGAAAAATTGTTTTAACTCAGTAACAAATATCCCAACTCAAAACTGATAAATGCTAGGAAAGATGTGTTTCCCAAGAAGATACACGAACGGTCAATAATCCCATAAAAAGATTCTCAATAGCAGCACTCATCAGGCAACTATAAATCAAAACCACAGTTAGATACTCTATGGCCAGAACTGGCCACTTTGGAAAATAGTTTGATGGCTTCTAAATATATTAAACATAGAATTGTCATATGTCCCAGAAATTTATTCCCAGTTATACACTCAGAGTATTGGAAAGAGGTGTTCAAACACAAATTGTACACAAGTATTTTTAGCAGCAGTATTTACAATAGCCAAAGGCTGAACACAACTCAAATGTCAATAAAAATGTTATTGGATAAACAAAATGTTATATCCATGCAATTGAATGTTATACAGTTATAAAAAGAAATAAAGTACCAATACGCACATGAACCTTGATAGCATTATGCCAACTGAAAGAAGCCAGGCACAAAAGGCCACCTATTGTATGATTCTATTTAGATGAAAATAGAATAGGAAAATCTACAGAGACAGGAAACAGATTTGTGGTTGCTTAGGATTGAGGAGGGGATGGGTGCATAGGAGGTTAACAGCTAAAGAAGGTGGGGTTTCTTTTTGAAGTGATGAAAATGCTCTAAAATTCATTGTGATGATGGCTCCACTTATCTGTGCATATACTATAAAAGCCACTGACTTGTAGACATTCGATGTGTGCACTCTATACTATGTAAACTATATCTCAATAAATCCTTTCAAAAATACACAGAAGAGTAAGGGGTTTTGGACTGTTGCAGCTGGGAGGCAGTTTGAAATACTGAATAGGTCTCATCGAGAATGTGAGGTTTCAGTAAAGACTTGAGGAAGTTGAATGAGCTGATCAATGGATATATGGAGGGCTATATTTCCAAGCCAAGAAATTAACTAGAGTCTTGGTCATGAGACAGCAGCATGTTGGCACGTCCAGAGGACAGTGAGGTGGCCAGGGCCACTGGTAAGATCAAGGGCGAAGATATAAAATAATTTTGGCGGTTAACATGCGACAGATCATGATGGGCTTGCAGACCATTGTAAGAATTGTGGCTTTAGTGTAAATGAAATGGGGAGACAAATCATTACCGCATTATCAATATTTTAATAAATTGGATCCATGAACCAAATCCAATGAGATTAAATCAATTAGTAATATGCAAATTTGTATTAAAATTACAAGAATTACTTGCACATTTGAGAACAGAAGAGTTATGATTGTTTATCAGCAATAATAAACATTATTAATTTTAATTGTGATCAGCTAGTTGAGATTAATTGCAATACATCATGCTTTATAATGTGACTGTCAAAAGGAAAATATGATTGTAACCTTATACTACATCTATCAATGTCTTTGATTCATAGGACTATAGAGTAAGCCCCTAGTTTTCAAAGCCAACTTATGAGGCAGTGACATCTTAGGCAAGTTTGCTGCTTTCTGCCACAGTGGTCCTTGGTCAGCTGGCACAAATTGTTTTACAAACACCAGTCGGTCTAAAAAAAGTTTGGATCACAATGAATACAGAAACATCTTCATCCCTTCAGAAATACCTATGAATTACTTCCAATACAGAATGAAAAATTGACAACGGAAATATGTTGATTGTAAAAATGCCAGTTAGCTTGCATCTACATGAAAGAAAAATGCCATTTTTATTACCTTAGATCATTGTTTTACATGAGTTTTGGTATAGCACAATGTTGAACCAAGGGCAAAGAGAGATGAATTAATGAAGTCTTAAGATATCAAGAATTTGAAAGAAAAGGAAAGTCATCTTTGAAGGTTAGTGACATAGCATTCATCTTCTCTTGTCACCTTTTCCATGATTCCCTGTATGCCTGATGGACAGCTTTCACTCAAGTTCAGAGAACAGCATGCAAAGATTAGCTACCAATTATCTTTATGAAGTGAGCTTAATTTCTAGCCAGACTGAGCTTACATTTTAGCAGGAAGCATTTTTGGGAAATGTTTATGTTAGAGTTTGCCCTTCTTGACAAGGTGAGACATAAATGTCTACCTTACAGACATGAATTAAGATGGGAATATATTTGGGGGAAACATTTTCTCAAATGCTAAATAACAAAGTTACACAAAGGGGAAATTATACTAGATTTCTTTCCCGCTTGTTTTCTATGTCTCATGCAATTAACCTTGATTCCCTTCAGTTTCTGTTTAATGTAGAAAGTGGCATTTTCATTATTTTAAGCTTCTAGCACAACGAAAGAATTTCTGTTTTTCATGAACTGCATCATAAATGAAAGGGAGGAAGAGTGTCCTATATCATATTTATTGTTAAAGAAAACACTGCTCCACGGCTTAAATTCCGTTTTAAAAAGAGAATTTATTGAACATCTAACACATACATAAAAGGCAGTAAAGACAAATGAGAAGGGGGCAGGTTATTGAAGTATACAGACTTTAATGCTGAGTTTTGTATTTTAGGAAGTTACTCCACCTTACAGAGGCTCAATTTCCCCTGATTTAGGAAGGCGATGCTAATGGGTATTGCATTAGGTGTAAGTATAAAAATGTTGTATTTAAGAGAATCCCACAAGCTTGGTATAAGGCAGAAAATAAATAGATGTGACATTAATAAGTAGTTTATTACATTTGTATGCTACCTGAAGACTAGAGGCAGCAAGAAACACAGCCACTATGCTTGATTAGCATTATATTCTAATTTGGAATATAAGTAGAAAAGAGAAGAATAGAAAGCTATGCATAAACACATGCATTAAAATGAATTTTATGTGGACTCTTTCATGAAAATGTTCCTAAGGTATTTTATTTTTTATTGTGGTAAAATACACATAACATAAAATGTACTCTTAACCATTTTAAGTGTACAGTTCAGTGGTACTAGAGTCATAACATTGTGCAGCCATCCCTACCATCCATCTCCATAACTCGTTTCATCTTGTGAAACTGAAACTCTATACCCATTAAACAGTACTTCCCCATGCCTTCCTCCCCCCAGCTTCTGGCAACCATCATTGTACTATCTCTATGATTCTGTCCACTTTAAGTCCCTTATACAAATGGAATTATACGGTATTTGTCCTTCACTGACTAACTTATTTCACTTGGCATAATATCCTCAAGTTTCATCCAAGTTGCAACATATGTCAGAATATTTCCCTCATGTTTAAGGCTGAATAATATTCCATTGTATGTATATATCATATTGTGCTTATCCATTCATCTGTTGTTGGACACTTCAATTGCTACTACGTTTTAGCTATTGCCAATAATGCTGGTGCAAACATGGATGTGCAAATATTTTTTCAAGACTCTGCTTTCAATTCTTTTGCTATCCTGAGATGTGGCGCTGCTCAATCATATGGCAATACCATTTTGATGTTTTGAGGAACTACCATACTCTTTTCCACAGCAAACATAGGGTTTGGCATTCCCTCCAAAACTGCAAAAGGAATCGCCACATCCTTGCCTGTGGATTTTATTCAGAAGTCCTGTGGCTCTCTCTACATCCCGGCCACCATGTGTTATTTCCTATTTATATATATGACATCAAAGGTGCAGGAAGTAATGAACTAAATTGGAAGGATAAACATGTAGAAAAATAGAGGTAAATACTGACTACATAAAACCATAACAGTAAGAATTTTGGATGATCTATTATATACCTATTTATCTAACATCTATCTGTTCCTCCATCTGTAATTAAGATATATTACAGTTAGAGAACGGAGAAAAAAGTATGAATACATGAATTTAAATTTTAATTCTTCTTAGATTATCTCACAGCATCATTATATGAAAGAAAATTTATAGGTCAATATCTGTTAACTATAAATGTAACATTCTTAAAGTATTCAAACACATTGAATTACAGTATGAATAATATATTACAATCCATTCAAGTTTATTTTATTCCAGGAACACAAAAATACAGATTTCATTTGCAATTCAAAAAATCAGAAATCGATACATGATTGATGTACATACACATTTAATGTATTTTTAAATATACATTTTTAAAAAATAGACATTTTTCTAGAACAAATACTTAAAATATCACTGAAAATAGTGTTATTAGCTAATACCTTCTTAATAACTCTGGTATTACATAAGACATCAAAATTAAAATTTCAGATAAGCTTAGAAACTAAAAATTTTAAAAATACTATTCTGTTCTCCATATGTTCATATTTAATATTATTTCTTGTTTTCATTCTTCTTCAGTGTTGGTCTACTAAAATATAACATACAATACTTACTTTTGATTTCTGTTATTACTCAAAATTGTATACATTTTCTCATGCTCTTAATTTAGATATGCTACTTTTCTGTACTCTTGGAATTTTCACATTTGTGTTCACTCTCTTTTGAGTTCCCATAGTAGCAAATAAGCTTTTTTCCCTCTTTCTGATTTGAAGGTTCATCTTCTCATAATTATTTTGTCCACTCAGTTTCTTTTCATTCTCAGTTAAGTGCCTCTCATCTGGCTTCTTTTCATTTATAAGGTTTCCTTTCATCTTGAGCCAGTCTTTTATTTATATTTTGATTCTGTTTTGTGGAGGACATGCTTCCCTGAATTTTAAGGAAGAGGCCAAAAGGTTTGTTCAAGTTTTTACCTGATACATTGGATTAAATTATCTAATGTACACACTCTTAATTTAAGTCAGGGGGCGACTGTCTACTCTTGATTTTATATAGTATTATTTTTCTTAACATCCAAGTCCATCTTCATCTATTTGTATATGATCAATAAAAATATATTTGTCCAGAACCCTGCTTTGGTGGAGTTACTTCTTTCTAAGTAGTAGAGGTAGCAGTTGAGACATGAGCTGGGTTCTGGGTCAGTTTAGCGGGCTGGGCGACATTCCTCCTTTTGGTCTGTATGACTGAATGAATGCAGTTCCTGCTGTCTCACTCCTCTCCTTAACACATTGAGCCATTGCAGCAGATGAGAAGGAATAATCTTGATCTGCCATTCAGGTGGAACACATGTTCTCTCCAGCCACACCCATAGGTTGTACTCACACTCGGCCAGAAGGTATCCTGTCAATGATGGAGATGTATCTATATATCTAGATAGATATCTACTTTGTTTTATGCTCTCTGGTTGCCCATAAATTATCTCCTTAAAGTGAATATCAAAAGAGAGCTTGGTGATGGCAGTGTTATAAAATCCTCAAAATGCAGTACCCACACCCAGAGGAATTTGTAGATTCTGGCATTCTAATTCAGATACCAAACTATATAAAAGGGGAATTGGTCATTGAGGGTTGCTAGGCTCTTTGTTGAGCATATTTGATCTTTTCATGACTTTGAAATTATTTTAAAAATCTAACCTTTTTCTCAGTGTGCTGCAAGATGATTTGATTTTAATGCATAAGCACTAATTCTCCCCTAAGATTTGTACAATATATTTGCTCTGACAAGCCATAGCCAGCAACTCACTTCACAGCAATTTATAGCATTTCCACCACAAGTTGAATTATTTTTAACTAGACTCTCTTTGCCTTAATAAAAGTATGAAGAAGCAATATACTTGTTCTAATTAGGTTCAAAAGTTGGCAGTCTCTCTCCTGGAAAGAATAATAAAACTTTTCAGCGGCCTAATATGCATCTATAGACACACACACACACACACACACACACACACACACACACACACGCAAGCACTATTCATAATATTTAAAGCACATTCTGTTCTATAACTTCATTTGTCTAGCACAAAATAAAACGATCTCAGTATATGTCAAGTACCAATTTTTTCGTATGGCCAATTATAGACATTTTATTTTTTAAAGATTAGAGTGTTCTTGAAGCTCTATTTCTTTGTCAAAGAACTAAACATTGGCAAATATGTAGGGTTTCCCACATAAAAACATTATTAACATCAAAATAGAAAGCTGGTTGTAGAAATAATGATTGGGAACACAGAGTCTCTACTCAACGTTCTACTTCTGCCGTACCATAACTTTGTGATCTCAGGAAATATCTCTCCATGTTGTCATCTCTATGTATAGTTCTGTCATTTTTCAATAAGAGCTTTTTGCTTAATTATGAAGTACTAGTTACTATAACCATTATTTTGAGCTTCATGTAAATCAGGAACACATGGACTCCACTTGCAAAACATTGAAAATGTAGTTAGGGATTGCGGGCATAAAGCAACATTTTAAAATGTGCAAAGACAATGAGTAAGCAACAAAGTGTCCAATTTTTTAGGGGAAAGTTGCATAGGTCAGGAAAAGGCAGGATTAAGTAACAGAGAATTTGAATGATAACTGGCCAATTGGTGTCATTTACAATTGCAAGTCATACAAATGAAGTTTGCTTTTTTAAAGAGAAAAGGAGTTACTTAGAATGGGTCAACCTATTGGGGAAGCAATGTAGTTAGAGACAATGCCCAAAACCATGTGAGCAAATGCTCTGTAGAGCCCACCCCTGAAATGCTGCCATTGTGAGGCCAAGTCTCTCCTTGTCTTGGTACTGAGCCCTCCATTCTGCTTCCATCATTGCCACTGCAGCTGCCATAAAATGATCCCTCAACCACCGCTGCCCAGGAACAAAGAAAGAATTCTGTCCTTCCGCGCTCTCAGATCAATTTCCAACATCAGGTGAGCCTTTGATGGGCACTATTCAGTTCCTATATCCATGACATAGATGCAGTAAAAACATAGAAATTGCCTATGTGTTTCCCAATAAGACACATATGGAAGCCTGTTTTCCCACAACAGGAAGGGGTTTGCACGATGGGTGTTCAAAGGAACAATATTCCATGTAAACCATACTTTGCCCATATGAAGAAAAGCAACAAGGATTATTTAGTAAATAGACATGGAACCTCATCCAATGTTGGCTGATGAGAAGCTGGTTAGCAAGGGGGTCTGCCTTCAGTTAGGACAAGGTCTGTGCTTCCCACGGGATCTCTCCACAGCAGGAGGGATGTAAACTTCCCTTTCTACCCTTGCACCTATCCTCAAATGGCCCAGAGGTCTTCAGGTTCTAGCATTTCTCAATTAATGCTGCACAAAATAACAGACAGCCTTGACTGTCACAGTCTGTTCTCATGAAGCTAGTCTCTGCTCACTACATAAAACAGGAGAGTAAGAACAAGGGTGTTTAACGCTACCCTAGCTCAAACATGTTTCTCTCTGTGGGATGCCAAGAACCTGGGAGCCAGTGCATCTGCTGCTTTCCCTTCTCGGATTCTCGCACAGACAAAAGAGGCAAGGGGCATTTCTTCAGAGGCCTTGAGTTTCACTATACAATGACCCAGACTCTACATGCACCCTCTTTATATATTTCTACCTTGAAAAAAAATTTTATATAATATTAATATATATTTTTATATAACAAACACATGTTTATTTTATAGATAGATATAGATATACATAGATAAAGATCTCTAGTCAGCCTTTTTTAAGGCTGGGCTGATCGCAGTGCCTCAAAACTATAATCCCAGCACTTTGGGAGGCCAAGGTGGCCAGATCTCTTGAGTCCAGGAGATGGAGATCAGCCAGGGCAACATGGTGAAACCCCATCTTTACAAAAATTAGCTAGTATGGTGTCATGCACCTGCAGTCCCTGCTACTCAGGAGGCTGAGTTGGGAGAATCGCTTGAGCACAGTATGTGAAGGCTTCAGTGAGCTCTGATCACATGACTGCACTCCATCTTGGGTGACAAAGTGAGACCCTCTCTCAAAATAAAATAAAATAAAAAGCCTACCACCATACTCACAGATAAGTGTGTCAGGTATATTTGCAGCTATCTTTCCTATATTCTATTTGGTAAAAAAAAAATTGCAAAGAACTCTTCTCATTCTAGATTTTTGTATTAATTAGACACTTGAAGGTTATAGCAGAAGATCTATAATCATGTTTTGTGTGTGTACTCTATAGACCAGATAGTGCAAACAGATATCAATGCTTTTTAAAAGTATATAAGGTTATTAGAAATATTTTAAACTACCTATAGGTATATATGTATCTAATTGAGCTATCAAATGCAAGTAAAATCATTTCCTTAGCGTGTGAAATCCACTCAATTTATTAAAATATTTTCTAATATCTATTACAATATTTAATTAGCTAACATAAGAGGAGTTTTAAGACATTTATTTATATGTACTTACTAGATTCAAACTCGATTCCACTATTTTCAGAAATTATGCTGAGACAAATCCTTTTTTTATCTATGTTTCTGCCCATATTAAAAGACAGATATGTCAATTTTGCTAATCATGCTGTTCTAAACCTCTCCATCCTGATTATTTTTCGGTTTGTTCTACCAGTCATTCAGAGACTTACTTATATTCAAATTTCTCTCTAGGTTTAACATTTGTGTATGTCTTCTTGTGGTTTTGTCTATTTTTGCTGTATATAATTTATTTCATTGACATATATCATACATGCAGAAAAGTACAATGATTAAATATGGATAGCTTAACACATGTATTTGCTTAGAACCATGTATGAAAATAGAACAGTACTAAAAATAGTGATACTTGTCCTGCCCCTTTCCAAACACTAACCCTCATCCTCAATAGTAACAGATTTTTTTTTTTTTATCATAATTTGGTCTATTTTCAAATTTTTATTAAATAAATCAGAGTATCTACTCTATGTTTCTTTCATTGTTGTTATTTTGCTTATAGTATTTATCTGCTAATGGACATGGTAGATTAAAGACGGCTACATACACATTTTTTAATTAATAGATTTTTTGAGCACTTTGTGGCTCATGCCTCTAATCCCATCACTTTTGGAGGCTGAGGTGCGTGGATCATGAGGTCAGGAGATCGAGACCATCCTGGCCAACGTGGTAAAACCCCTTCTCTACTAAAATACAAAAAATTAGCTGATAGACTAACATCAAGATAACATCTGGGTTTTTAGCTGCACTGAGTCAAGCCTACTTACATCTTTGTCTTCCGCTGCACTTTTCCTTCCACATCACACTCCAGGAATGCCAAGCTGTGCTAGCCTTCTACCCCATTTCCACTATTTTGTCCCGGCCGCAGCGGGTTTTTGTGGCTTTTTGCCACCGCGGCTGTTTGCCCCCACCGCCGCGGGTTTTTGCCGCCGCGGGTTTTTGCCGCTGCAGCTTGTTGCCGCCGCGGCTTGTTGCCCCCGTCGCCCCGGCTTTCTCCCCTGCCGCCGCAGCTTGTTGCCCCCGACGTCGCGGCTTTTTATGGCTTTTTGCCCCCGTCGCCGCTCCTTTTTGCCTCCGCCACCGCGGGTTTTTGCCACCGCGGCTGTTTGCCCCCGCCGCCACGTCTTTTTGTCGCCCCTGCTTTTTGCCCCCGCCGCCACGGCTTTTTCCCCTGCGGCCGCAGCTTTCTGCCCCCACCGCCGCGACTTTCTGCCCCCGTCGCCACAGCTTTTTGCCGCTGCGGCTTTTTGACCCGCCGCCGCGGCTTTTTGCCCCCGCCGCCGAGGCTTTTTGCCGCCCCGGCTTTTTGCCCCCGCCGCCCCGGCTTTTTGCGGCTTTTCGCCCCGCCGCCGCGGCTTTTTCCCCCCCGCCGCCGCGGCTTTTTTCTCCCCGCCGCCGCGGCTTTTTTCTGCCCCGCCGTCGCGTTTTTTTTGCCGCTTTTCGCCCCCGCCGCCGGGGATTTTTGTCCCCGTTGCCGCGGGTTTTTGCTCCTCCCGCCTTAGGTTTTGGCCGTTGTGGCTTTTTGCCCCCGCCGCCGCGGCTTTTTGCGCCCACCGCCCCGCCTTTTTGCTCCCGCCAGCGCGGCTTTTTGTCCCCGCCGCTGCGGCTTTTTGCCCCCCCCGCCACGGCTTTTGCCGACGCGGCTTTTTCCCCCCGTTGCGGCTTTTTGTCCCCGCCGCCGCCGCTTTTTGCGGCTTCTTGCTCCCCCCCCGCCGCGGCGGCTTCTTCCTCCCCTCCCCCCAACGCCGCGGCGGCTTCTTGCTCCCCACGCCGCGGGTTTTGGCCGCCGGTGGTTTTTGCACCCGCCTCCGCGGGTTTTGCTAACGCGGCTTTTTGCTTCCCGCCGCCGCCCCTTTTTGTCCCCGCCGCCGCGGCTTTTTGCGCCCCGCGCCGCTGCTTTTTTTTCGCTCCTGCCGCCGGCGCTTGTTGCTCCCGCCGCCGCGGCTTGTTGCCCTCGCGGCTTTTCCCCCCCGCCGCCGCGGCTTTTTGCTCCTCCAGCCGCAGGTTTTGGCCGCCGTGGCTTTTTGTCCCCGCCACCGCGGCTTTTTGCCCCTCTCCCTCCACGGGTTTTGGCCGCCGCCGCCGCCGCAGCCTTTTGTCGCCGTGTTTTTTTCCCCCGCCGCCGCGGTTTTTTGTCCCCGCCGTCGCGGCTTTTTGCAGCTTTTTGTCCCCGCCGCTATGGGTTTTGCTGACGCGGCTTTTGACCCCCACCGCCAGGGCTTTTTGCCCCCGCCGCCACGGATTTTTGCCCCCGCCGCCGCGGCTTTTGCCAACGTGGTTTTTGCCAACGCCGCCGCGGCTTTTTTCCCCGTCGCGGCTTTTTGTCCCCGCCGCCGCCGCTTTTTGCCCCCACCGCCGCGACTTTTTGTTCCCCCCGCCGCGGGTTTTGGCCGCCGGTGCTTTTCGCACCCGCCGTCGCCGCAGGTTTTGCCAACGCGGCTTTTTGCCCCCAGCGCCGCGGCTTTTTGCTTCTCGCCCCCGCCCCTTTTTGCACCCCGCCGCCACGGCTTTCTGCCCCCGTCTCCACAGCTTTTTGCCGCTGCGGCTTTCTGACCTGTCGCCGAGGGTTTTGGCCGCCGCCGTCGCGGCCTTTTGTGGTTTTTTGCCCCCGCCGCCGCGGCTTTTGGCCCCCGCCGCCCGGCTTTTTGCCGCCGCGGTTTTTGCCCCCGCCGCCGCTGCTTTTTGCGGCTTTTCGCCCCCGCCGCCGCGGCTTTTTGCTTCCAGCCGCCGCCCCTTTTTGTCCCCGCCGCCATGGCTTTTTGCGCCCACCGCCGCGGCTTTTTGCTCCCCGCCGCCGCGGTTTTCTGCCCCCGCCGCCAAGGCTTTTTGCTGCTCGGGCTTTTTGCCCTCGCCGCCGTGGCTTTTTCCCCCGATGCCGCGGCTTTTGGCCCCCGCCGCCACTGCTTTTTGTGGTTTTTTGCCCCTGCTCCCGCTGCTTTTTGCCCCCGCTGCTTTTTGCGGCTTTTCGTCCCCGCCGCCGGGGCTTTTTGCTCCCCGCCGCCGGGGCTTTTTGCTCCCCGCCGCCGCGGCTTTTTGCTCCCCGCCGCCGCGGCTTTTTGCCCTCGCTGCCGCTGCTTTTTGGGGCTTTTCGCCCCCGCCGCCGCGGGTTTTTGCCGCCCGGGCTTTTTGCCCCTGCCGTCGCGACTTTTTGCCCCCGCCGCCGCGGCTTTTGCCCCCGATGCCGCGGCTTTTTGCCCCCCGACGCCGAGGCATTTTGCCGCCGAGGCTTTTTGCCGCCGTGGCTTTTTCCCCCCGCCGCTGCGGCTTTTTGTGTTTTTTTGCCCCCCGCTCCCGCGGCTTTTTGCCAGCGCCGCCGCGCCTTTTTCCCCCGCCGCCGCCGCTTTTTGCCGCCGCAGCTTTTTACCCCCGTCGCCGAGGATTTTTACCCCCGCCGCCGCCGCTCTGAGGGCGGGAGCGGCAGACTTGGCCGCCAGCTCCACTGGCGTCCTGGCAAGGGCAGCGCCGAGGGGCGCTCCTGGTCCAGCTCCCCCGGCTCGGGAGTGTATGAATGCTTTGTGTTCTCACAAAGAGAATGTAGCACCCATGTCCTACCTGCTTGGTTGCATTGCCGGTGCCCACGGTAGTCCATTTTATCCAGGTTTTTAGGTTTTGTTGTGTTTCGTTTTGTTTTTTTCTTTTCAGGAGAGTTAGTCCAAGACTAATAACTCCGTAACTGGTAGAATTGGAAGACTTTAATAGTGCTTAACGTTTTGTACATAGCTTTATAAGTTTTCTTTTTTTCTGATTCTTTTCAATATACCCCGTCATGGTTGAACTCAGTCATTGCTTATTTAAAATCTATAACTGCTGACGTTTTGTAACCTTCGCATTCCAGATAATTGGTTTTTTGTGTATTTTCTGTATTTTTCTCCATCAGTCTACCTAGATATTTGTTAGATGTAATATTTTAATATATTACTAGCAGTTACTCCCCATTTCCCCCTTTTCCCAGCCCCTGGCAACCACTAGTCTATTCTCTGTCTCTATGGACTAGCATGTGCCAAATATAAAAAAAAAAAACAGAATCATATGTGACCTTTTGTGTTTGGCTTCATTTATTTAGCATGTTGTCCTGATTCATCCATGTCGTATCTTGTGTCAGCACTTCATTACTTTATATGCCTGAATCCCATTGCATGAATATACTATGTTTTGTTTATCCATTCATTAGTTGATGGATATTTGAGTTGTGTTCATTTTTTGACTATGATTAATAATGTACTGTGATGAGATTCATGTACTCGTTTTTGTGTGGACGTATTTTTACAATTTTCTTTATATATCTGGTAGTGGGCATATGGTACATCTATGTTTAAATTTTTGAAAAACTTCAAAACTGTTTTCGAAAGTCTCTGTACCATTTTATATTATTACCAGCAGTGTATGGAGGTTCCATTTTTTCCTACCTCCTTGCTAACATCTGTTATTTTCCTTTTTTAAAAAAATATAGCCATCCTTGTAGATGTGAAGTGGTATCTAGTTTTCATTTGCATATCCTTAATGACTAATGATGTTGAGCATCTTTTCATGTGCTGATTGGCCATTTGTATATCTTTTTAGAGAAATCTTCATTTAGATTGTTTGCTCATTTAATTGGGTTGTCTTTTTGTTATTCTAAGAATTCTTTATATATTCTGGACATTAGTTCCTCATCAGATGTATGACCTAATAGATATTTTCTCTCATTCTGTGGGTTCTTTTCACTTTCCTGATGGTATCCTCTGAAGTACAAAAGTTTTGAATTTTGTTAAAGTCCAGTTTGTTTTTTCCTTTTGTCAGTCTTGCATTTAGTGTTGTATCTAAGACCCATTGCCTAATTCACGGTCACAGATTTATACCTGTGTTTTCTTCTATAAATTTTATAGTTTTACCCCTTATATTTGGGTCTTTGATCCTGATAGTGTTTTTTTTTGGTGAACAGAATTTGTTTAGGTTTTATATGAAAACCCACTGGGGCTATTAAGGTAGTTTTACTATATTATCTTTAGAAGTTTTATGGTTTTGCTTCTCATCTTATTCTTAATCCACTGGAAACTACATGTTGTATAGTCAGTGTTCATTTATATTTATTCACATTATTTGTCTTCTTACGTACTCACCATTTCTTCTTGAAACTCATGACTTCCATCTAGGGGAACACCCTAATACTGAAAAACATCTCTTAGAATTTCCTTTAGTGAAGGTCTCTTAGTTAGCAAATTTAGTATTTGTTTGGTTTTTATGACTTAAATATTGTCTTATATTTGGCCTGTTTATTAAAAGATATATTAATTTCATATGTGATTATTTTTTCTTAGTACATTGTCTTCTTGCTTCCATTTTTAAGACATTAGCTCTTGGTCTAAATCCATATTCTTTCATGGATAATGTGAATTTTTTCTCTGGTTGTTTTCAATATATTCTTTTCTTCAGGGTTCCGTTATTTTTATGATGATACATTTAGGTATTTTTTTTTCCTTTTAAATCTGTCCAACTTGAGCTTCCTGAATATGAAGGGTGGAATTTTTCATCACTTTGGGAAAATTCCAAGCCATTATCTTTTTTACAAAACCTTTCTAACAGTTTATTGTTCTGCTTATGTAATCCTGTTAGTTGTAATATCTTATCACTCTTGTCTTCCATGTCTCTTGTTTCTTCCTTATTTTTTACTTCTTTGGGCTTCCTTCTGAGCAATTTCTTCAGCCTGTCTTCCAGTTTACATTTTCCTTTTCAATTATATGTAATCTGCTGTCAAATCTGTCTTCAATTTCAACAATTATGTTTTTATTTCTGGAATTTCTGTTTGGCTCCTCAAATCTGCCTGGTCATTTTTTAAAATGTTTTTTTTTTTTGCTTTCATTGAGTTGTATTAAATTTTTATTATATGCCCAACAATTCTAATTAAGTCTTTATTGGTTTGATTTTGCTGAGTCTCTTTTCTTTTGTCTTTATTTTCTTTACTTGTACTATGTTAATAATCTAGTAATAACACCAACTAAATCACATGATTGTTTTATGAATTGAGATAATGAATATATGGCATAATATCTGGTACATAGTAAATGTACATGCAACCCGTTATAATAATTAGAAATAATGAAATATAATGTATGATTATTAGGAAATGTACCAGAGCCACAAATTTCATTGAGCGATATAAAAGACAACTAGAGAAAACAAAAATATGCCATAGCTGGATGGAAACAGTAATAATAATGTTGTGTGTTCATCTTCGACTAAATCATGTCTCATACAATTTCAATAAAATTCCAATTAAATTTATTTTTAAAACGTGGCAAATACATTGTAAATTTAATGTAAAAGAACAAACAGGGCCAGGCTGAGTGGCTCAACCTGTAATCCCAGCACTTTGGGAGGCTGAGGCGGGCATATCATGAGATCAGGAGATCGAGACCATCCTGGCTAACACGGTGAAACCCCATCTCTACTATAATACAAAAAATTAGCCGGGGGTGTTTGCAGACGCCTGTAGTCCCAGCTACACAGGAGTCGGAGGCAGAAGAATGGCGTGAACCCAGGAGGAGGAGCTTGTGGTGAGTGGAGATCACGCCACTGCACTCCAGCTTGGGCGACAGAGAGAGATTCCATCTCAAAAATAAAATAAAATAAAATAGAAAAAGAATTTGTGTCTTGTTTCCTCATTAATGTTGGTTGAAAGCATGTTTGCACTTGTCTTTGAGTTGTGTTTTATTAACATTGATTGGCATATTAAAAGTCCCTCTGAGCTTACCTTGTCTAAAAAAATGTAAGAAGAAGGACTATGAGGCAGAGGGGCTGGTGTGAGCACATGCTGGGCAGGAGGAAAGAGGTAATGATCAGGACCAGGGAAATCCCCAAACCCAGCAAGTCAGGGAGCCAAATGAAAGCCTTTCATCCTGTATTGGCCACCTAACCCCATCGACACTCCAAGTGAACATTCTCTCTTAGAGATACTCATTGTCCTGTTTTTTCTGTAACCTTGCAAAGGAATCTGATTTCTCCCATTAGCCTTTCACAGGAAAAAAATTTCACATTAGAATGCTATTCTTTAGAAGGCATCTCAGATTAGGCTGCAAGGAGATTGAGGAAGTTACTGTCAGTCACTTATACCCCACAGGGACATTAATTCACCAGAGCTTTGGTGGGGGAGTAGAGGAGCTCATTACAAGCAGGTCTGGATGCTGCACAGAGTGTAAAGGGGGCAGAAGGACCCAGGACACTTAGGCCTGGAGATAGCGCCAATGCTGGGAGGTACCCTTATTATCCCCATTTTACAGAGGAGGAAACAGATGGTAATCTGTTTCCATCCCTGCCAGAGGAGGAAACTGGCAGGTAATGTGATGAAGACCATGCTGCCCCGCAGTACAGGGGCCAGGATCTAAGCCCAGGCAGCCTGCCTTGCCATCAGCGCTCTCACCCATAACCTCGTGCTGCCTTTAAGCAGGATTGCCCTGTGGCCAGGGGCACAGCTTCTGGGTTCACATTCCAGCTTCTCTACAATTTCCAGCTGTGTGACCTTGGGCAAGTTACTTGTCTGTGCTCAGCGTCCTCTGCACAGTGGGTATAGCAATACCTGCCTCGTGGAGTCCCTTAAGTGAATTAATCACTGTAACATGCTTAGAATGGTGCCATGCGCATCGTCACCATCCAGTACATATGGGCCATCATGCCTGAATCCTGGATGGATTAAAAGTCCCTCTGAGCTTACCTTCTCTAAAACAATGTAAGAAAAAGGGCCTGTGGGAAGGACTATGAGGCAGAGGGGCTGGTGTGAGCACATGCTGGGCAGGAGGAAAGAGGTAATGACCAGGACCATTGAAGGGTCTAAAATGACCAGGATCCTTGAAGGGTCTAAAATCTAGGATCCTGAAATACCTGGCAGTGGGATCCTGAAATCCTCTGGCAGCATTTTAACATATTTTGGCTGTAGAATTGTACCCTGCTTTCCGGGGCTAGAAGGTGTGGGATCAGAGGCGTACTCAGTTCAGCCCCAAAGTAGGCAAAGAAGGTTTTGTCACAGGCTTGTCTAGGGCCCAGCCCCTGTAACCTCCCCTTGTACCTCCCTTGCGTGCTCCCTCACCCATATTCACACATGCACTCTAGGCCTTCTGGGCCCCAAGGGAAGGAGAGAGGGTGGGGAGTGGGTTCACTGGTCTACCGAAGCATGCTGCCTTCAGCCCTGCTGAACTGCTGGGTCCAGGGAATGGGCCTGCAGCTGAAAGGGTCTTGCCCTCCCTTTAACTTTAAACTTTGATTTTCAGTGATCCAAGAGCTTCATCTCTTCCTGTGATCCTGTCTGGATGTTTATGCTGGATGGTATGGGCCACTTCTGGCAGGGGTGCACAGGCCAGGGCCTGGCTGGCAGCCATGGCAGGTGAGGAGACCTTGGCAGATGAGAAGACCTTCTGCTTCTGCTTCAACGTATGGGTCTTCTCCTGGCTCTCAGTACATTCCTCCTGAGCCATGATGGGCCCCAGTTCAATGAAACCTTCTGCGGCAGCATCATGGTGCCCAGGGGTATAAGCTGGGGCATGTACCAGTGCTACCCCAAGGTATGTGGTTGTGGGACTGAGTGGAGCCCGAAGGGCTGGATGTTGTACCTCTCTTCCATGTATCTGCCCCATCCTTCAATCATCTTCTTGTTATTTTCATTTTGAATCCCGTTTTATTCTGTCTTCTCTTCTGAGCACCCATCCATTCATTTATCCATTCATCCATCTATTCATCCATCCATTCATCCCAGCATCAATCTATCAATCCATGCATCCATCCATTTATTTGTCCAACCACCCATCCATCTATCTGTCCATCATTTAGCATAAGGATTGATCAGAAGCCTCCTGGTTCTGGAGCCATAGACCAGACACCATGGGGAGACATGATGAAAAACAACATATGATTTGTGTGCTTGAAACAAAAGCTAATGAGTGCTTACCACCTGCCTGGCAGTCTTGCATTCAGGGTACAGTTCTCCCCTCATCCTGAGCTTTTTGGTACCTTCTATAGTTTCATTTAGTAGTAGAGAATGCTGAGCCTCATAAAGTGGGGTCACACAGCTGCGTAGTGGAGTTTGGATTGGAGCTCAGATGTGTGTGACTTAGGCATCACCCTCTGCCTTGAGTCCTCCACTCTAGGGTCCCAGAGCTGCTGAGCATTCTGGGGTTGGTCAGCTCTAACCTTGGTGGCATGCATTGAGCAACTCTCCATATTTTGGAGTCTTAATGTATTCCTAGCCTTAGTGATGGCAAGGACCCTGCTTTGGGAGACCTGGGTTCTAGTTCCAGTCCTGTACCAAACTTTCTGTGTGATCTTTGTCTTTCTGAGTCCAGTATTTGCATCTGCGTAATAGGACACAAGCACCAACTTTCACAGCCTCATAGGGCTATTACAGAGGTCAGAGAAGAGAAGAGATATATGAGTATTTGTATACTGTAGAGTGTTTTGTTTAGGTGAAGGGCTGTCAGGTCCTGACAACCCTCTGGAATGAACATGTCAGAAGTTGTAAACCGTCAATGCCCAGAGAGGTGGAGTGACTCTTCCAAGGTCACATAGCTAGTCAGAGACAGACCTAGGGGAAAAAAATGAGAGAAACATGGAATCTAACTTGGGCTCTGTCTCTAACTGCCTGGGAGACTGCTCAAGCCCCTTACCTCTCTAGGCCTCAGTTTCCTTGTTTTTACAATATGTGAGACAGGATGAGGGGATGGATGGGGAGGATATCTGGAGGCCTTGCGAGAACTCACCTCTAGGGCCCAGGCTTGGGAATCCCCAGAACCCCCATATTGTCCTTTACACCTGGATGGCTGTGCTCAAGGGCTCAGGGAGGGGGGACTCTTGTGGCCCTGGACTCCCTAGCCTTTCCCCTTCTGTGGGCCCACCCTGTGCTGTCAGTGTGTTAGGTGCTGGAATGGTCTCAGCTGGTTTGTAGTCATTTCCGAGGAAGTTTATGGTAACCTCACCTCTGTCCGTGCCATGTCCTGAGCAGACGTCCCCGGGAGAAGTCCTGGCAGCCAGAGCTACCCATGTCACCACTAGCCATGGTAGTCCTCTTCCCCATGAGGAGGCTGCACCCTGGGAGATGGCATTGGATGGAATGGGACATCTGTCCTGACCTCCCCATTAAGCAGAGGTGGCTCTGGGACTGTGGGCAGGGATACTGCAGTGGCAGTGGGAAACGAAGTGGAGGAGGAAATATTGCCGGGTACTAATAGAATAGAATGTACTCGAATGTAATGGATTTCAATGTATTTGATTAGAATGGAATAGAATCGAATGGAACATAATCCAATGGAATGGCATGGAATGCAATGGAATGGAATAGAATGCAATGCAATGGAATGGAATCAAATAGAATGGAATCGAAAGAAATGGACTCAAATGGAATTTATTCGAATACAATGGAATCGAATGGAATGCAATAGTATGGAATGGAATCGAATGTAATGGAATCGAATGGAATGGACCGGAATGGAATGGACTGGAATGGAACGGAATGGAATAGAATGGAGTCGAATGTAATGGATTGCAATGTAACTGATTCGAATAAAATCGAATCGAATGGAATGGAATCGAATGGAATGGACCAAAATGGAATGGACTGGAATAGAACAGACTCGAATGTAATGGATTGCAGTGTAATTGATTTGAATGGAATGGAATCTAATGGAATGTAATATAATGGAATGGAATTGAAAGAAATGGAATGGAATAAAATAAAATGCAATGGAATGGAATGGAGCGGAACTGAGTGGAACGGAATCCAGTGGAATAGAATCGAATGGAATGGAATGGAATGGAATGGACTTGAATGGAATCTACTGGAACAAAATGGAATCGAATGGAATGGAATCGAACGGAACGGAATGGAATGGAATAGAATGGACTCGAAGGGAATGGAGTTGAATGGAGTGGAAACCAATGGAATGGAATAAAATAGAATGCAATTGAATAGAATCCAATGGAATAGAATGGAATGGAGTATAATGGAAAGATATCGAATGTAATGTAATGTAATGGAATCGAAAGGAATGGAATGGAATATAATGGAAAGATATCGAATGTAATGTAATGTAATGGAATCGAAAGGAATGGACTGGAATGGAAGGTACTCAAATGCAATGGACTGGAGTGGAATGGAATGAAATCGAATGGAATGGAATTGAATAGAATGGAATTGAATAGAATCGAAAGGAATAGAATGGAATTGAGTGTAATGAAAAGATATCGAATGGAATGGAATGGAATGGACTCAAATGGAATTGACTGGAATGGAATGGACACGAATGGAATGGAATGGAGTCGAATGGAATGGAATCGAATGGAATGGAATTGAATAGAATGGAATTGAATAGAATCGAAGGGAATAGAATGGAATGGAGTGTAAAGGAAAGTTATCGAATGGAATCGAATGGACTTGAAAGGAATGGACTGGAATGGAATGGACTCGAATGGAATGGACTGGAGTGGAATCGACGCGAATGGAATGAAAACGAAAGGAATGGAAAGGAATGGAACGGAATGGAATGGAATGCAAAGGAATAGAATAGAATGGAATCGGATGGAACAGAATGGAAAGGAATGGAGTCGAATGGAACAGAAACGAATGGAATGGTATCAAATGGAATGGAATGGAATGGAATCGACTCAGATGAAATGCAATCGAATGGAATAGAATAGAATGGATTGGCATCGAATGGAATGGAACGGAATGGAATGGAATGGAATGGGATGGACTGAAATGTAATGGACTTGAATGGAATGGACTCAAATAGAATGGACTCGAAAGGATTGGTCTCGAATGGTATTTATTCGAATAGAATGAGATCGAATGGAATGAAATAGTATGGAATGGAATTGAATGGAATGGAATCGAATGGAATGGACCGGAATGGAATGGACTGGAGTAGAACAGACTGTAATGTAATGGATTGCAATGTAATTGAATCGAATGGAATGGAATCGAATGGAATGTAATCAAATGAAATGGAATGTAATGGAATATAATGGAAGGCAATGGAATGGAATGGAGTGGAATCGATAGGAATGGAATCGAATAGAATGGAATCAAATGGAATGGACTGGAATGGAATAGACTCTAATGGAATGGACTGGAACAAAATGGAATCGAACGGATTGGAATGGAACGGAACGGAAAGGAATAGAATGCAATGGAATGGACTCGAATGGAATGCAGTCGAATGGAATGGAACCGAATGGAATGGAATTGAATGTAATCGAAAGAATAGAATGGAATGGAGTGTAATGGAAAGATAACGAATGTAATGGAATGGAATGCACTCGAATGGAATGGACTGGAATGGAACGGACACAAATGGAATGGACTGGAGTGGAATGGACTTGAATGGAATGGAAAAGAATGGAATGAAATGGAAAGGACTGGAATGGAAAGGAAAGGAATAGAATGGAATGAAATCGGATGGAAAGGAATGGAATGGAATGGAGTCGAATGCAATAGAGTCAAATGAAATGGCATTGAATGGAATGGAAAGGAAAGGAATGGAATGGAATGGAAAGGAATAGAATGGAATGGAATGGAAAGGAATACAATGGAATGGAATCGGATGGAACGGAACGGAAAAGAATGGAATCGAATGGAATAGAATCAAATGGAACGGCATCGAATGGAATGGAATGGAATGGAAAGGAATGGAATAGAATGGACTCGAATGGAATGGATTCGAATGGAATAGCATAGGATGGAATGGCATTGAATGGAATGGAATGGACCCATATGTAATAGACTCGAATGGAATGGACTCAAATAGAATGCACTCAAAAGGAATGGTCTCGAATGGAATTCATTCGAATAGAATGGAATTGAATGGAATACAATAGCATGGAATGGAATGGAATGGAATGGAATGGAATGGAATAGAATAGAATGGACTGGAATGAAATGGACTGGAATAGAACGGAGTCGAATGTACTGGATTACAAAGTAATTGATTCGAATCGAATGGAATCGAATGGAAAGTAATCAAATGGAATGGAATGGAATGCAATGTAATGGAATAGAATGGAATGCAATGCAATGGAATGGAGTGGAATTGAGTGGAATGGAATCGAATGGAATGGAATCGAATGGAATGGATCGGAATGGAATGGACTGGAATGGAATGGACTCGAAAGGAATGGACTGGAACAAAATGGAATAGAACGGATTGGAATGGAAAGGAATGGAATGGAATGGAGTGCAATGGAATGCACTCGAATGGAATGGAGTCGAATGGAATGGAACCGAATGGAATGGAATTGAATGGAATCGAAAAGAAGAGAATGGAATGGAATGTAATGAAAAGATATCGAATGTAATGGAATGGAATGGACTCGAATGGAATGGACTGGAAAGGAATGGAATCGAATGGAATGGACTGGAGTGGAATGGACTCGAATGGAATGGAAACGAATGGAATGGAATGGAAAATAATAGAATGGAAGGAAATTGGATGGAATGGAATGGAATGGAGTCAAATGGAAGAGAAACGAAAGGAATAGCATTGAGTGGAATGGAATGGAATGGAATGGACTCGAATGGAATGGAAACGAATGGAATGAAATAGAATGGAAAGGAATAGATGGGAATGGAATGGGTTGGAATGGAATTGAATGGAATGGAGTCGAATGGAATAAAATTGAATGGAACGGCATCAAATGGAATGGAACGGAATGGAATGGAGTTGAATGGACTCGAATGGAATGGATTCGAATGGAATAGAACATAATGGAATGCCATCGAACGGATTGGAATGGAATGGAATGGACCCAAATGTAATGGACTCGAATGGATTGGACACAAATTGAATGCACTTGAAAGGAATGGTCTCGAATGGAATTTATTCGAACAGAATGGAATCGAATGGAATTCAATAGTATGGAATGGAATAGAAAGGAATGGAATCGAATGGACTGGACCAGAATGGAATGGACTGGAATACAATGGAGTCGAATGGAATGGACTTCAATGTAATAGAATCGAATGGAATGGAATCGAATGGAATGGAATTGAATGGAATGTAATCAAATGGAATAGAATGGAATGCCATGGAATGGAATAGAATGGAATGCAATGGAATGGAATAGAAAGGAATGCAATGGAATGGAACAGAGTGGAATCGAGTGGAATGGAATTGAATGAAATGGAATCGAATGGAATGGAATCGATTGGAATGGACTGGAATGGAATTGAATCGAATGGAATGGATAGGAACGTAATGGAATGAAAAGGATTGGAATCGAACGGAACGGAATGGACTGGAATGGAATGGAATGAAATGCTATGGTCTCGAATGGAATGGAACTGAAAGGAATGGAATCGAACAGAATGGAATTGGATGGAATTGAAAGGAATAGAATGGAATGGAGTGTAATGGAAAGAAATGGAATGGAATGGAATGGACTCGAATGGAATGGACTGTAGTGGAATGGACTCGAGTGGAATGGAAACGAATGGAATGGAATGGAATGGAATGGAATAGAATGGAATGGAATCGGATGGAATGGAATGGAATGGAATGCATTCGAATGGAATAGAATCAAGTGTAATGGCATCAAAGGGCACGAAAAGGAATGTATTCAAATGGAATAGAATCAAGTGTAATGGCATCGAAGGGAATGCAATGGAATGGAATCGAACGGAACGGACTCGAATGGAATGGACTCGAATGGAATAGAATGGAATGGAATGGCATCGAATGGAAAGGAAAGGAATGGAAAGGAAGGAAACGGAATGGAATCGGATGGAATGGAATCAAAAGTAATGGAGTCAAATGGAATAGAATCAAATGGAATGGCATCGAATGGACTGGAATGGAATGAACTAAAATGGAATGGACTCGAATGGAATAGAATAGAATGGAATGGCATCGAAAGGAATGGAATGAAATGGATTGGAATGTAATGGAATGGATTGGACCCAAATGAAAAGGACACAAATGGAATGGACTCAAGTAGAATGGAGTCGAAAGGAATGGTCTCGAATGGAATTTATTGAAATACAATGGAATCGAATGGAATGCAATTGTATGGAATGGAATCGAATGGAATGGAATCAAATGGAATGAACCAGAATGGAATGGACTGGAATAGAACCGACTCGAATGTAATGGATTGCAATGTAATTGATTTCAAAAGAATGGATTCAAATGGAATGTAATCAAATGGAATGGAATGATATGCAATGGAATGGAATAGAATGGAATGCAATAAAAAGGAACGGCGTGGAATCGAGTGGAATGGGATCGAATGGAATGGAATCGTATGGAATGGAATCGAATGGAATGGACCAGAATGGAATGGACTGGAATAGAACCGACTAGA
The DNA here is from genome assembly GCF_000001405.40 of Homo sapiens. Classification (NCBI taxonomy): domain Eukaryota; kingdom Metazoa; phylum Chordata; class Mammalia; order Primates; family Hominidae; genus Homo; species Homo sapiens. Next base: position 21,856,282 of record NC_000017.11, read on the forward strand.
ATGTAATGGATTGCAATGAAATTGATTTGAATGGAATGGATTCAAATGGAATGAAATCAAATGGATTGGAATGGTATGCAATGCAATGGAATAGAATGGAATGCAATAAAGGGGAACGGAGTGGAATCGAGTGGAGTGGAATCGAGTGTAATGGAATCGAATGGAATGGAATTGTATGGAATGTTATCGAATGGCATGGACTGGAATCGAATGGAATGTAACTGAATGGAATGGAATCGAATGGAATGGAATTTTATGGAATGTTATCGAATGGCATGGACTGGAATCGAATGGAATGTAACTGAATGGAATGGAATCGAATGGCATGGACTGGAATGGAATGGACTCGAATGGAATGGACTGGAACAAAATGGAATTGAACAGATTGGAATCGAATGGAACTGAATGGAATGGAACGGATTTGAATGGACACGAATGGATGGAGTCGAATGGAAAGGAACCGAATGGAATGGAATTGAATGGAAGCGAAAGGAATAGAATGGAATGGAGTGTAATGGAAAGATATCAAATGGAATGGAATGGACTCGAATGGAATGGAATTGAATAGAAGCGAAAGGAATAGAATGGAATGGAGTGTAATGGAAAGATATCAAATGGAATGGAATGGACTCGAATGGAATGGAGTCGAAAGGAATGAAATCAAATGGAATGGAATCGAATGGAATGGAATTGAATGGAATAGAAAGCAATAGAATCGAATGCAGTGTAATGGAAAGATATGGAATAGAAAGGAATGGAACGGAACGGACTCGAATGGAATGGACTGGAATGGAATGGACTGGGGAGGATTGGACTCGAATGGAAAGAAAATGAATGGAATGGAATGAAATGGAAAGGAATGGAATAGAATGGAATGGAATTGGATGGAATGGAATGGAATGGAATGCAGTCGAATGGAATAGAATCGAATGGAATGGCATCAGATGGAATGGAATGGAATGGACTCGAATGGAATGTACTCGAATGGAGCAGAATCGAATGGAATGGCATCGAATGGATTGGAATGGAATGGTATGGAACCAAACGTAATGGACTCGAATGGAATGGACTCAAATAGAATGGACTCGAGAGGAATGGTCTCGAATGGAATTTATTCGAATAGAATGGAATCGAATGGAATGCAATAGTATGGAATGGAATCGAAAGAACTGTAATCGAATGGAATGGACCGGAATGGATTGGAGTGGAATAGAACAGGCTCAAATGTAACAGAATGTAATGTAATTGATTTGAAAGGAATGGAAACGAATGTAATGTAATCAAATGGAATGGAAAGGAATGCAATGGAATGGAATAGAATGGAATGCAATGCAAAGGAACGGAGTGGAATCTAGTGGAATGGAATCGAATGGAATGAAATCGAATGGAATGGAATTGAATGGAATGGACTGAAATGGAATGGACTCAAATGGATTGGACTGGAACAAAATGGAATCAATCGGATTGGAATCGAACAGAACGTAATGGAATGGAATGGAATGGACTCGATTGGAACGGAGTATAATGGAATGGAACCAAATGGAATTGAATCGAAATAATGGAAGTGAATGGAATAGAAATGGATAGAATGGAATGGAGTGAAATGAAAAGATATCGAATGGAAAGGAATGGAATGGAATGGACTCGAATGGAAAGGACTGGAATGGAATGGACAGGAGTTGAATGGACTCGAATGGAATAGAAAGGAGTGCGATGGAATGGAATGAAATGGAATGGGAAGGAATAGAATGGAATGGAATGGAATGGAGTCGAATGGAATAGAATCGAATGGAATGGCATCGAATATAATGGAATGGAACGGAATTTAATTGAATGGAATGGACTCAAATGGAATAGAATTGAATGAAATGGCATCGAATGGAATGAAATGGACTCAAATGTAATGGACTCGAACGGATTAGACACAAATAGAATGGACTAGAAAGGAATGGTCTCGAATGGAATTTATTCAAATAGAATGGAATCGAATGTAATGCAATAGTATGGAATGGAATGGAATGGAATTGACCGGAATGGAATGGAATGGAATAGAACGGACTTGAACGTAATGGAATGCAATGCAATTGATTTGAAAGGGATGGAATCCAATGGAATGTAATCAAATGGAATGGAAAGGCATACAGTGGAATGGAATAGAATGGAATGCAATGGAATGGAATCGAGCGGAATAGAGTGGAATGGAATCGAATATAATGGAATCGAATGGAATGGAATCGAATGGAATTGACTGGAATGGAATGGACTCGAAAGGAATGGACTGGAACAAAATGGAATCGAATGGATTGGACTCGAACGCAATGGAACGGAATGGAATGGAAGAGAATGGACTGGAATGGAATGGAGTCAAATGGAATGGAACGGAATGGAATGGAATTGAATGGAATTGAAAGGAATAGAATGGAATGGAGAGTCTTGGAAAGATATCGAATGGAATGGAATGTAATGGAATGGACTCGAATGGAATGTACTGGAGTGCAGTCGACTCGAATGGAATGGATTGGAGTGGAATGGAATAGAATGGAATGGAAAAGAATGGAATGGAATGGAAAGGAAAAGAATGGAATGGAATCAGATGCAACGGAATGGAATGGAATGGAGTGGAATCGAATGGAATGGAATCGAATTGAATGGACTGCAATGGAATGGACTCGAATGTAATGGACTGAACAAAATGGAATCAAACAGATTGGAATCGTACAGAACGGAATGCAATGGAATGGAAGAGAATGGACTTGAATGGAATGGAGTCGAATGGAATGGAACTGAATGGAATTGAATTGAATGGAATTGAAAAGAATAGAATAGAATGGAATGTCATGGAAAGATACTGAATGGAATGGAATGGACTCGAATGGAATGGACTGGAGTGGAATAGACACGAATGAAATGGAAACAAAAGAAATGGAATGGATAGGAGTAGAATGGAATGGAATCGGATGGAACGGAATGGAATGGAATAGACTCGAATGGAATAGAATAGAATGGAATTGCATCAAATGGAATGGAAGGGAATGTAATGGAGTCAAGTGGAATGGACTCTAATGGAATAGAGTCGAATGGAATGGCATCGAATGGAATGGAAAGGAATGGAATGGAATGGACCCAAATGTAAAGGAATCGAATGGAATGGACTCAAATAGAGTGGATTCAAAAGGAATGGTCTCGAATAGAATTTATTCGAATAGAATGGAATCAAAAGGAATGCAATAGTATGGAATGGGATCAAGTGGAATGGAATCGAATGGAATCGACTGGAATGGAATGGACTGGAATAGAAAGGACTCGCATGTAATGGATTGAAATGTAATTGATTCAAACTCCTTGGAATCGAATGGAATGTAATCAAATGGAATTGAATGGAATGCAATGGAATGGAATGGAATAGAATGGAATGCAATGGAATAGAACAGAGTGGAATCGAGTGGAATGGAATCGAATGGAATGGATTCGAATGGAATGGAATTGAATGGAAAAAACTGGTATGGAATGGACTCAAAAGGAAAGGACTGGAACAAAATGGAATCGAACGGTTTGGAATTGAACGGAATGGAATGGAATGGAATGGATTCGAATGGAATGGAGTTGAATGGAATTCAATCGAATGGAATGGAATCGTACAGAATGGAATTGAATGGAATCAAAAGGAAAAGAATGGAATGGAGTTTAACAGAAAGATATCGAATGGAATGGAGTGAAATGGAATGGAGTCGAATGGAATGGACTCGAATGGAAGGGACTGGAATGGAATCGACTCGAATGGAATACACTGGAGTGGAATGGACTTTAACGGAATGGAAACGAATGGAATGGAATGGAATGGAAAGTAACGGAATGGAAAAGATTATAATGGAATGAAATAGGATGGAACAGAATGGAATGGAATGGAGTTGAATGGGATAGAATCCAATCGAATGGAATCGAATGGCATGGAATGGAATGGACTCGAATGGAATGGACTCAAATGGAATAGAATCGAATAGAATGGCATCGAATGGAATGGAATGGAATAGAATGGAATGGAATGGACCCAAATGTAATGGACTCGAAAGGAATGGACTCAAATAGAAGGGACATGAAAGGAATGGTCTTTAATAGAAATTTTTCGAACAGAATGGAATCAAATGGAGTGCAATAGTATGGAGTGGAATCGAATGGAGTGCAATAGTATGGAAAGGAATCAAATGGAATGGAATCGAATGGAATGGACCGGAACAGAATGGACGGGAATGGAATGGACTCGAATGTAATGGATTGCAATGTAATTGATTCGAATGGAAAGGAATCGAATGGAATGTAATCAGATGAAAAGGAATGGAATGCAATGGAATGGAATAGAAAGGAATGCAATGGAGTGGAACGGAGTGGAATCGAGTGGAATGGAATGGAATGGAAAGGAATGGAAAGGAATGCAATTGAATTGAATGGAATGGAATTGGATGGAACAGAACAGAATTGAATGGAGACGAATGGAAGAGAATCCAATGGAATGGCATCGAATGGAATGGAATGGAATGGAATGGAATGGACCAAAATGTAATGGACTCTAATGGAATGGACTTAGAATGGACTCAAAAGTAATGGTCTCGAATGGAATTTATTCAAATAGAATGGAATCAAATCAAATGCAATAGTATG
>NC_000017.11:21860957-21976511 GCF_000001405.40 Homo sapiens
GAATGTAATCAAATGTAATGGAATGGAATGCAATGGAATAACATAGAAAGGAAGGCAATGGAATGGAACGGATTGGAATCGAGTGGAATGGAATTGAACGGAATAGAATGGACTGGAATGGAATGGAAATGAATGGAATGGACTGGAACAAAATGCTATCGAAGGGATTGGAATCAAACGGAATGGAATGGAATGCAATGGAATGGAATGGACTCGATTGGAATGGAGTCGAATGGAATGGAATCAAATGGAACGGAAACTAATTGAATGGAATTGAATGCAATTGAAAGGAATAGAATGGAATGGATTGTAATGGAAAGACATCGAATGGAATGGACTCGAATGGAATGGAGTGGAATGGAATGGACTAGAACAGAATGGACTGCACGGGAACGGACTGGAATGGAATGGAAACGAAAGGAATGGAATGGAATGGAAAGGAATAGAATCGTATGGAATCGGATGGAACAGAATGGAATGGAATGGTGTCGAATGGAATAGAATCGAATGGAAAGGCATTGAATGGAATGGAATGGAATGGACTCAAAAGGAATGGTCTCGCATGTAATTTATTTGAATAGAATGGAATCGAATGGAATGCAATGGTATGGAATGGATTCGAATGGAATGGAAAGGAATGGAATGGACTGGAATAGAATGGACTCGAATGTAATGGATTGCAATGCAATTGACTCGAATGGAAAGGAATAGAATAGAATGGAATGGCATGGAATGGAATGGAATGCAATGGATTGGAATAGAATGGAAAGCAATGGAAAGGAACAGAGTGGAATCAAGTGGAATGGAATCGAATGGAATGGAATCAAACGGAATGGAATCGAATGGAATGGACTCGAATGGAATGAACTGGAACAAAATGGAATTGAACGGATTGGAATCGAAAAAAACGGAAGGGAATGGAATGGGATGGAATGGACCCTAATGGAATGGAGTTGAATGGAATGGAATAGATTGGAATGGAATCGAATGGAATGGAATTGAATGGAATTGAAAGTAATATAATGGAATAGATTCTAATGGAAAAAAATGGAATGGAATGGACTCGAATGCAATGTACTGGAATTGAATGGAATGGACTGGAGTGGAATTGACTCGAATGGAATGGTAACAAATGGAATGGAATGGATCAGAATGGAATGGAATGGAATAGAATGGAATGGAATCAGATGGAACGGAATGGATTGGAATTGAGTCGAATGGAATAGAATCAAATGAAATGGACTCGAATGGAATGGAATTGAATGGAATAGAATCGAATGGAATGGCATCAAAAGGAATGGAATGGAATTGAATGGAATGGACCCAAATTTAATGGAATCGAATGGCTTGGATTCAAATAGAATGGACTTGAAAGGAATGGTCTCGAATGGAATTTATTCAAATAGAATGGAATTGAACGGAATGCAATAGTATGTAATGGAATCGAATGGAATGGAATCGAATGGAATTGACTGGAATGGAATGGATTGGAATAGAACGGACTTGAATGTAATGGATTGCAATGTAATTGATACGAATGGAATGGCATCGAAGGGAATGTAATCAAATGGAATGGAATGGAGTGCAATTGAATTGAAATGAATGGAATGCAATGGAATGGAATAGAATGGAATGCAATGGAGTGGAATATAATGGAATGCAATGGAATGGAATCGAGTGGAATGGAATCGAAAGGAATAGAAATGAATGTAATGGACTGGACTGGAATGGACTGGAATGGAACGGACTCGAAAGGAATTTAGTAGAATGTAATGGAACCCAATGGAATGGAATTGAATTGATACAAAAGGAATAGAATGGAATGGAGTGTAATGGAAAGACATCGAATGGAATAGAATGGAATGGAAAAGACTCGAATGGAATGCACTGGAATGGAAGGGACTCGAATGGAATGGACTGGAGTGGAATGGACTCGAATGGAATGGAAACGAATAGAATGGAATGGAAAGGAATGGAATGGAGTGGAAAGTAACAGAATTGAATGGAATCGGATGAAACGGAATGGCATAGAATGGAGTCGAATGGAATAGAACCGAAAGGAATGGCATCGAATGGAATGGAATATAAGGGAATGGAATGGACTCAAATGGAATGGACACTAATGGAATAGAATCGAAAGGAATGGAATTGAATGGAATGGAATGGAGTGGAATGGAATGGACCCAAATGTAGTGGACACAAATGGAACGGACTCAAATAGAATGGACTCGAAAGGAATGGTCTCGAATGGAATTTATACGCATAGAATGGAATCGGATGGAATGCAATTGTATGGAATGGAATAGAATGGAATGGAATCGAATGGAATGGACCAGAGTGGAATGGACTGGAATAGAATGGACTCGAAAGTAATGCATTGCAATGTAATTGATTTGAATGGAATGAAATCGAATGTAATGTAATGTAATGGAATGGAATGCATTGGAATGGAAAGCAATGCAATGAAATGGAATAGAATGGAATGAAACGAAATGGAATGGAGTGCAAGCCAATGGAATCGAATTGAATGAAATGGAATCGAATGCAATGGAATCGAATGGCATGGAATGGAATCGAATGGACTCGAATGTAATGGAGTGGAAAAAATGGAATCAAACGGATTGGAATTGACTCTAACGGAGTGGAATGGAATGGAAGAGAATGGACTCGAAGGGAATGGAGTCGAAAGGAATGGAACGGAATAGAATGAAATTGAATGGAATTGAAAGGAATAGAATGGAAGGGAGTATCATGGAAAGATAACGAATGGAATGGAATCGAATGGACTCGAATGGAATGGACTTTAATGGAGGGGACTCGAATGGAAAGGATTGGAGTGGAATGGACTCGAAAGGAATGGACTGGAGTGGAATGGACTCGAATGGAATGGAAACGAATGGAATGGAATGGAATGGACTGGAACGGAAAGGAATAGAATGGAATGCAATCGGACGGAACGGAATGGATTGGAATGGAGTCAAATGGAATAGAATCAAATATAATGGCATTGAGTGGAATGCAATAGAATGGAATCAAAAGGTATGGTATGAAATGTACTCGAATGGAATGGACTCGAATGGAATAGAATCAAAAGGAATGGCATCGCAAGGAAAGGAAAGAAATGGAATGAAATGGAAAGGAATAGAATGGAATGGAATCGGATGGAATGGAATGGAAAGGAATGGAATGGAGTCGAATGGAAGAGAATCGAATGAAAAGTCGTTGAATGGAATGGAGTGGAATGGAATAGAATGGACTCGAATGGAATGGACTCTAATGGAATAGAATCAAATGGAATGGCATCGAATGGAATGGAATGGAGTGGAATGTACTCGATTGGCATGGAGTCGAATGGATTGGAATCGAATGGAATGGACTCGAATGGAATTGAATGGAATGGAATGGCATCGAATGAAATGGAATGGAATGGAATGGAATTGAATGTACCGAAATGTAATGGAATTGAAAGGAATGGAATCAAATAGAATGGACCCGAAAGGAGTGGTCTCGAATGGAATTTATTTGAATAGAATGGAGTCAAATGGAATGCAATAGTATGGAATGGAATCGAATGGAATGGAATCGAATGGAATGAACCGTAATGGATTGGACTGGAATAGAAAAGACTTGAATGTAATGAATTGCAATGTAGCTGTTTCGAATGGAATGGAAGCGAATGGAATGTAATCAAATGGGATGGAATGGAATCCAATGGAATGGAGTAGAATGGAATTCAATGGAAAGGAACGGAGTGGATTCGAGTGGAATGGAATCGAAAGAAATGGAATTGAAAGGAATGGAATCGAATGGAATGGACTGCAGTTGAATGGACTCGAATGAAATGGACTGGAACAAAATGGAATCAAACGGATTGGAATTGATCGGAACGGAATGGAATGGAATGGAATGCGATGGAAAGGAGTAGAATGGAATGGAATCAGATGGAAAGGAATGGAATGGAATAGAGTTGAATGGAATAGAATCGAATGGAAAGGAATAGAATGGAATGGAATCAGATGGAAAGGAATGGAATGGAATAGAGTTGAATGGAATAGAATCGAATGGAATGGCATCAAATGGAATGTAATGGAATGGAATGGTATGGACTCGAATGGAATTGACTCGAATTGAATAGAATAGAATGGAATAGTATCGAATGTAATGTAATGTAATGAAATTGAAAGGAATGGAACCAAATGTAATTGACTCGAATGGAATGGACTCAAATAGAATGGACTCAAAAGAACAGTCTCGCATGGAATATATTCGAATAGAATGGAATCGAACGGACTGCAATAGTATGCAATTGAATAGAATGGAATGGAATCAAATGGAATTGACCGGAATGGAATGGACTGGAATAGAACGGACATGAATGTAATGGATTGCAATGTAATTGATTTGAATGGAATGGATTCAAAGGGAATACAATCAGATGGAATGGAATGGTATGCAATGTTATGGAATAGAATGGAATGCATTAAAATGGAACGGAGTGGAATTGAGTGGAATGGAATCTAATGGAATGGAATCGAATGGAATGAATTGTAATGGAATGGACACGAATGGACTGGACTGGAACAAAATGGAATCGAATGCACTGGAATCAAACGGAACAGAATGGAATAGAATGGAAAGGAATGGAATCGAATGGAATGGAGTCAAATGGAATGTAATCGAATGGAATGGAATCAAATGGAATAGAATTGAATGGAATTGAAAGGAATAGAATGGAATGGAGTGCAATGGAATGATATAGAATTTAATGGAATGGAATGGAATGGAATCGAAAGGAATGGATTCGAATGGAATGGAATAGAATGGAATGGAATTGAATAGAATCGAAAGGAATAGAATGGAATGGAGTGAAATGGAATGATATCGAATGGAAAGGAATGGAATGGGATGGACTCGAATGGAATGGATTGGAATGGAATGGACTCGAATGGAATGGAAAGGAATAGAATGGGATGGAATCGGATGGAACAGAATGGAATGGAATGGAGTCAAATGGAATAGAATTGAATTCAAGTGCATCGAATGGAATGGACTCTAATGGAATGGACTCGAATGGAACAGAATCGAATGGAAGGGCATCGAATGGAATGGAATGGAATGGAACGAAATGTAATGGACTCGAATGCAATGGACTCAAATAGAATGGACTTGAAAGGAATGCTCTCGAATGTAATTTATTCAAATAGAATGGAATGCAAAAGAATGGAATGGAATCAAATGGAATGGACCAGAATGGAATGGAATGAAATAGAATGGACTCGAATGTAATGGATTGCAATGTAATTGATTTGAGTGGAATGGAATCGAAAGGAATATAAAAAATGGAAAGGAATGGAATGCAATGGAATGAAATAGAATGGAATGCAATGGAAAGGAATGGAGTGGAATCGAGTGGAATGGAATCGAATGGAAAGGAATTGAAAGGAATGGAATTGAATTGAATGGACTCGAATGGAATGGACTCGAATGGAATGGAGTAGAACAAAATGGAATCGAACAGATAGGAATGGAATGGAATGGAATGGAAAGGAATGGAATGGACTCGAATGGAATGGAGTCGAATGGAATGGAATCAAATGGAATGGCATTGAATGGAATTGATTGGAATAGAATGGAAGGGAATGCAATGGAATGGACCCTAATGTTATGGACACGAATGGAATAGACTCAAATAGAATGAACTCGAAAGGAAATGTCTCGAATGGAATTTATTCGAATAGAATGGAATCTAATGGAATGCAATAGAATGGAATGGAATCAAATGGAATGGACTGGAATGGAATGGACTGAAATAGAATGTACTCAAATGTAATGGAATGCAAGGCAATTGATTTGAATGGAATGGAATCGAATGCAATGTAATCAAATGGAATTGAATGGTATGCAATGGAATGGAAAAGAATGGAATGCAATGGAATGGAACGGAATGGAATCGAGTGGAATGAAATCGAATTGAATGGAATCGAATGGAATGGAATTGAATGGAATGGACTTGTTTGGGATGGACTCGAATGGAATGGACTGGAACAAAATGGAATCGAACGGATTGGAGTCGAATGGAAGGGAATGGAATGGAATGGAATGGAAAGGAATGGACTCAAATGAAATGGCATCAACTGGAATGGAACCAAATGGAATGGATTAGAATTGAATGGAATCGAAAGGAATACAATGGAATGGAGTGTAATGGAAAGATATCAAATGGAATGGAATGGAATGGAATGGAATGGACTGGAACAGAATGGCCTCGAATGGAATGGACTGGAGTGGAATGGAATGGAAAGGAATAGAATGGGATGGAATAGGATGGAACAGAACGGAATGGAATGGAGTCGAAAGGAATAGAATTGAATTGAAATGCATGGAATGGAATGGAATGGACTCGAATGGAATGGACTCGAACTGAATCGAATTGAATGGCATCGAATGGAATGGAATGGAACCAAATGTAATGGAATGTAATGTAATGGACTCAAATATAATGGACTCGAAAGGAATGCTCTCGAATGTAATTTATTCAAATAGAATGGAATCCAAAGAAATCCAATAGAATGGAATGGAATAAAATGGAATGGAATCGAATGGAATGGACTGCAATATAATGGACCGGAATAGATCGGACTCGATTTTAATGGATTGCAATGTAATTGATTCGAATGGAATGGAATCAAAAGAAATATAACCAAATGGAATGGAATGGAAAGCAATGGAATGGAATAGAAAGGAATGCAATGGAAAGGAATGGATTGGAACCGAGTGGAACGGAATCAATTGGAAAGGAATAGAAAGGAATGGAATCGAATGGAAAGGACTCTAATTGAATGGAGTGGAGCAAAATGGAATCGAACGGATAGGAATCAAATGGAACAGAATGGAATGGAATGGAATGGACTCGAATGGAATGGAGTTGAATGGAATGGAATCGAATGGAATGGAATTGAATGGAATCGAAAGGAATAGAATGGAATGCAGTGTAATGGAAAGATTTCGAATGTAATGGAATGGAATGGAATGGACTCAAAAAGAACGGAATGGAATGGAATGGACACGAATGGAATGGATTGGGGTGGAATGAACTCGAATGGAATGGAAACGAATGTAATGGAATGGAATGGAAAAGAATAGAATGGAATAGAATCGGAAGGAATGGAATGGAATGGAATGGAGTCGAATGGAATAGAATCAAACGTAATGGCAGCGAATGGTATGGAATGGAATGAATCGAATCGAATGGAATGGACTCGAATGAAATAGAATCCAATGGAATGGCATCGAATGGAATTGATTGGAATGGAATGGAATGGACCCAAATGTTATGGACTTGAATGGAATAGACTCAAATAGAATGTACTCGAAAGGAATGGTCTCGAATGGAATTTATTCGAATAGAATGGAATCTAATTTAATGCAAAAGAATGGAATGGAATCAAATGGAATGGACCGGAATAGAATGGACTGAAATAGAATGTACTCGAATGTAATGGATTGCAATGCAATTGATTTCTATGGAATGAAATTGAATGAAATGTAATCAAATTGAATTGAATGGTACGCCATGGAATAGATAAGAATGGAATGCAGTGGAAGGGAACAGAGTGGAATCGAGTGGAATGAAATCAAATCGAATGGAATCAAATGGAATAGAATCGAATGCAATGGACTTGTTTGGAATGGACTCGAATGGAATGGACTGGAACAAAATGGAATTGAACGGTTTGGAGTCAAATGTAATGTAATGTAATGGAATGGAATGGAAAGGAATGGACTCGAATGGAATGGAGTCAAATGGAATGGAACTGAATGGAATGGATTAGGATTGAAGGGAATCGAAAGGAATAGAATGGAATGGAGTGTAATGGAAAGATATTAAATGGAATGGAATGGACTAGAATGGAATTGACTGGAATGGAATGGCCTCGAATGCAATGGACTGGAGTGGAATGGACTCGAATGGAATTGAAATGAATGGAATGGAATGGAATGGAAAGGAATAGAAAGGAATGGAACTGAATCAGATGGAATGTAATGGAATGGAATGGAGTCGAATGGAATAGAATCGAATGGAATCGCATCAAATGGAATTGAATGGAATGGAATGTTATGGACTTAAATGGAATAGAATCAAATGGAAAGGCATCGAATGGAATGGAAAGGAATGGAAATGAACGGAATGGATTGGTTCCAAACGTAATGGACTTGAATGGAATGGACTCATATAGAATGGAATCGAAAGGAATGGTCTGAATGGAATTTATTCGAATGCAATGGAATCGAAAGGAATGCAATAGTTTCTAAAGGAATTGAATGGAATGGAATCGAGTGGAGTGTACTGGAAAGGTATGGACTGGAATAGAATGGAGTCGAATATAATGGAATGAAATGTAATTGATTCTAGTGCCTTGGAATCGAAAGGAATGTAATCAAATGGAATGGAATGGAATGCAATGGAATGGAATGGAATGGAATGCAATGGCATGGAATAGAATGGAATGCAAAGGAATGGAACGGAGTGGAATCGAGTGGAATGGAATCAAATGGAATGGAATCGAATGGAATGGAATTGAATGGAGTAGAATGGAATGGACTGGAACACAATGGAATCGAACGGATTGGAATGGAATGGAATGGACCCAAATGTAATGGACTCGAATGGAATGGACTCAAACAGAATGGACTGGAAAGGAATGGTCTCAAATGGAATTTATTTGAATAGAATTTAAATGGAATGGAATGCAATGGTATGCAATGGAATCAAATTGAATGGAATTGAATGGAATGGACCGGAATGGAATGGACTGCTATAGAACTTACTCGAATGTAATAGACTGCAATGTAATTGTTTCAAATGAAATGGAATCGAATGGAATGTAATCAAATGGAAAGGAATGGAATGCAATGGAATGGAATAGAATGGAATGCAATGGAATGGAACGGAGTGCAATCGAGTGGAATGGAATCGAATGGAATGAAATAAAATGGAATGGAATTGAATGGAATGGAATTGAATGGAATTGAAAGGAATAGAAGGGAATGGAGTGTAATGGAAAGATATTGAATGGAATGGAATGGACTCCAATGGAATGGAGTGTAATGGAATGGATTCGAATGGAATGGACTGGAGAGGAATGGATTCAAATGAAAAGGAAACGAATGGAATGCAATGGAATGGAACGGAGAGGAATAGAATGGAATGGAATTGGATGGAACGGAATGGAATGGAATGGATTCAAATGAAATGGACTTGAACAGAATGGCATTGAATGGAATGGAATGGAATGGACTCGATTGGAATGGACTCGAGTGGAATAGAATCAAATGGAATGGCATCGAATGTAATGTAATGTAATGGAATGGAATGGAATGGATTGGAATCGGAAAGATTGGAATAGAACGGAATGGAGTCAAATGGAATAGAATCGAGTGGGATGGCAATGAATGGAATGGAAAGGAATGGAATGGATTTGAATGGAGTGGAGTCAAATGGAATAGAATGGAATGGAAAGGCATTGAATGTAATGGAATGGAGTGGAATGGAATGGACCCAAATGTAATGAACTTGAATGGAATGGACAAACAGAATGGACTCGAAAGGAATGGTCTGGAATGGAATTTATTCGAATAGAATGGAATTGAATGGAAAGCAATAGTATGGAATGGAATCGAATGGAATGGAATCGAATGGAATGGACCAGAACGGAATGGACTGGAATAGAACGGACTCGAATGTAATGGACTGCAATGTAATTGATTCGAAAGGAATGGAATCAAATGGAAAATAATCAAATGGAATGGAATGCAATGCAATGGAATGGAATAGAATGGAATGCAATGGAATGGAACGGAGTTTAATTGAGTGGAATGGAATCGACTGGAATGGAATTGAATGGAATGGTCTCGAATGGAATGGACTGGAACAAAATGGAATCAAAGAGACTGGAATCGAATGGCATGGAATGGAATGGAAAGGAATGGACTCGAATGGAATGGAGTAGAATGGAATGGAAGCAAATGAATGGAATTGAATGGAATCGAAAAGAATAGAATGAAAAGCAGTGTAATGTAAAGATATCCAATGGAATGGAACGGAACAGAGAGGACTCGAATGGACTGGAATCGAATGGAATGGACTGGAATTGAATGGACTCGAGTGGAATGGACGAGAACAAAATGGATTCGAACGGATTGGAACTGAACGGAATGGAAAGGAACGGAATGGATTGGAATGGACCCGAATGGAAGGGAGTCGAATGGAATGTAATCAAATGGAATGGATACGAATGGAATGGAAATGAATGGAATCGAAAGGAATAGAATGAAATGGAGTGAAATGGAATGATATCGAATGGAGTGGAATGGAATCGAAAGGAATGGATGGGAATGGAAAGGAATCGAAGGGAATGATCTGGAGTGGAATGGACTTGAAAGGAATGGAAACGAATGAAATGGGATGGAATGAAAAACGATAGAATGGAATGGAATCAGATGGAATGGAATGGAATGGAATGGATTCGAATGAAATAGAATGGAATGGAATGTCATTGAATGGAATGGACTCGAATGGAATGGACTCAAATGGAAATAGAACAGAATGGAATGGCATCGAATGGAATGGAATGGAAAGGAATGGACCCAAATGTAATGGACGCGAAAGGAATGGTCTTGAATGGAATTTATTCGAATAGAATGGAATCGAATGGAATGCAATAGAATGGAATGTAATCGAATAGAATGGAATCTAATTTAATTGACTGGAATGGAATGGACTGGAATAGAAAGGACTCGAATGTAAAGGATTGCAATATAATTGATTTGAATGGAATGGATTCAAATGGAATGTAATCAAATGGATTGGAATGGTATGCAATGGAATGGAATAGAATGGAATGCAATAAAAAGGAACGGAGTGGAATCGAGTGGAATGGAATCGAATGGAATGGGATCAAATGTAACAGATTCGAATGGAATGGACTGGAATGGAATGGACTCGAATGGAATGGACTGGAACAAAATGCAACCGAACAGATTGGAATCGAACTGAACGGAACAGAATGGAATGGAATGGAATGGAATGGAGTCGAAAGGAATGGAAGCGAATGGAATGGAACTGAATGGATTCGAAAGGAATAGAATGAAAGGGAGTGTAATGTAAAGATATCCAATGGAATGGAATGGAATAGAATGGAGTAGAATGGACTGCAATGGAATAGAATGGAGTAGAATGGACTGGAATGGAATGGACCCGAATGGAATGGACTGCAGTGGAATGGAATCAAATGGAATGGAAACGAATGGAGAGGAAAGGAATGGAATGGAATAGAATAGAATGGAATGGAATCAGATGGAATGGAATGGAACAGAATGGAGTCGAATGGAATAGAATCGAATGGAATGGCATTGAATTGAATGGAATAGAAAGGAATGGGCTCGAATGGAATGGACTCGAATGCAACAGAATAGAATGGAATGGCATCGAATGGAATGGAAAGGAATGGAATGGAATGGACCCAAACGTAATGGACTCTAATGGAATGGACTCAAATAGAATGGACTTGAAAGGAATGGTCTCAAATGGAATTTATTAGAATAGAATGGAATCGAATGGAAAGCAATAGTATGGTATGGAATCGAACGGAATGGAATCGAATGGAATGGACTGGAATGGAATGGATAGGAATAGAAAGGACTCGAATGCAATGGATTGCAATGTAATTGATTCGAATGGAATGGAATCGAATGGAATGTAATCAAACGGAATAGAATGGAATGCAATGGAAAGGAAGAGGATGGAATGCAATGGAATGGAACAGAGTGGAATCGAGTTTAATGGAATCGAATGGAATGGAATCAAATAGAATGTACTCGAGTGGAGTGGAATCGAATGGAATTGACTCTAAAGGAATGGTCTCGAATATAATTTATTCGAACAGAATCTAATCGAATGGAATGGAAACGGAATGGAATGGAATGGTATGAAATGGTATAGAATGGAATGGAATTGGATGGAACGGAATGGAATGGAAAGTAGTTGAATGGAATAGAATCCAATGGAATGACATCGAATGGAATGGAAAGAAAAGAATGGAGTGGGATGGACTCGAATGGAATGGACTCGAATGGAATGGACTCGAATGGAATAGAATGGAATGGAATGGCATGCAATGGAATGGAATTGACCCAAACGTAACGGACTCGAATGGAATGGACTCAAATAGAATGGACTCGAAAGGAATGGTCTCGAATGGAATTTATTCGAGTTGAATGGAATCAAATGGAATGAAATAGTATGGAAAGGAATCGAATGGAATGGAATCGAATTGAATGGACTGGAATGGAATGGACTGGAATAGAACCGACTCGAATGTAATGGATTGCAAGGTAACAGATTCGAATGGAATCGAACGGAATGTAATCAAATGGAATGGAGTGGAATGCAATGGAATGGAATAGAATGGAATGCAATGGAATGGAATGCAGTGGAATCGCGCAGAATGGAATCAAATAGAATGGAATCGAATGGAATGGATTCGAATGGAATGGAGTCAAATGCAATGGATTGGAACAAAATGAAATTGAAAGGATTGGAATCAAACGGAACGGGATGGAATGGAATGGAATGGAGTGGACTTGAATGGAATGGAGTCGAGTGGAATGGAATCGAATGGAATGGAATTGAATGGAATTGAAAGGAATAGAATGGAATGGAGTTTAAGGGAAAGATATCAAATGGAATGGAATTTAATGCAATGGATTCGAGTGGAATGGACTGGAATGGAATGGACTCGAATGGAATGGCCTGGAGTGGAATGGACTCGAATGGAATGGAAACGAATGGAATGGAATGCAATGGAATGGAACGGAAAGGAATAGAATAGAATGGAATCGGATGGAATGGAATGGAATGCAATGGAGTCGAATGGAATAGAATCTATGGAATGGCAACAAAAGGAATGGACAGGAATGGACTCGAATGGAATATAATCGATGGAATGGCATCGAATGTAATGTAATGGAATGTCATGGAATGGAATGGACACAAGTGTAATGGATTCGAATGGAATGGGCTCAAACAAAATGGACTCGACAGGAATGTTTTCGAAAGGAATTTATTCGAATAGAATGGAATCCAATGGAATGCAGTAGAATGGAATGGAATCAAATGGAATGGAATAGAGTGGAATGGACCAAAAGGAATGGACCGGAATAGAACAGACACGAATGTAATGGATTGCAATGTGATTGATTTGAATGGAATGACATCTAATGGAATGTAATCAAATGGAATTGAATGGAATGCAATGGAATGGAATAGAACGGAATGCAATGGAATGGAACGCACTGGAATAGAGTGGAATGGATTCGAATGGAATGGACTGGAATGGAATGGAGTCGAATGGAATGGACTGGAACATAATGGAATTGAACAAATTAGAATTGAAAGGAATGGAATGGAATGGAATGGAATGGAATAGATTCGAATGGAATGGAGTCAAAAGGAATGGAATCAAATGGAATGGAATTGAATGGAACTGAATCGAATGAAATGGAGTTGAATGGAATCAAAAGGAATAGAATGCAATGGAGGGTAATGGAAAGATATCGAATGGAATGGAATGGAATGGACTCGAATGGGATGGACTGGAATACAATGAACTAGGATGGAATAGACTGGAGTGGAATGGACTCGAATGGAATGTAAATGAATGGAATGGAAAGGAATAGAATGGAATGGAATCAGATGGAACAGAATGGAATGGAATGGAGTTGAATGGAATATAATGGAATGGAATGGAATGGAATGGAATAGAATGGAATGAAATGGAACGGACTGGAATGGAATGGACTCAATTGGAACAGAATCGAATGGAATGGCATCGATTGGAATGGAATGGAATGGACACAAATATAATGGACTCGAATGGAATGGACTCAAATATAATGGACTCAAAAGGAATGGTCTCGAATGGAATTTATTCGAATAGAATGAAATCGAATGGAATGAAATAGTATGGAATGGAATCGAATGGAATGGAATCGAATGGAGTGGACCAGAATGGAATGGACTGGAATAGAACAGACTTGAATTTAATGGATTAAAATGTAATTGATTCAAATGGAATGGAATCAAATGGAATGTAATCAAATGGAATGGAACGGAATGCATCGAAATGGAATAGAATGGAATGCATTGGAATGGAAGGAGTGTAATCGAGTGGAATGGAATCGAATGGAATGGATTCGAGTGGAATGGAATGGAATGGAATGCAATGGACTCCAATGGAATAGACTGGAACAAAATGGAATCGAATGGATTGGAATCGAACGGAATGGAATGGAATGGAATGGACTCGAATGGAATGGAGTTGAAAGGAATGGAGGCTAATGGAATGGAATAGAATAGAATGGAATCGAATGGAATGGAATTGAATGGAATCGAAAGGAATAGAATGGAATGGAGTGTAATGGAAAGATATTGAATTGAATGGAATGGACTCGAATGGATTGGACTCGAATGGAATGGACTGGAGTGGAATGGACTCGAATGGAATGGACTGGAGTGGAATGGATTCGAATGCAGTGGAAACGAATGGAATGGAATGCAATGGAATAGAATGGAAAGGAATAGGATTCAATGGAATCGGATGTAATGGAATGGAATGGAATGGAGTCGAATGGAATAGAATTGAAAGGAATGGCATCAAATGGAATTTACAGGAATGGAATGGAATGGAATGGACTCGATTGAAATATAATCGAAAGGAATGGCATCGAATGTAATGTAATGGAATGGAATGGACCCAAATGTAATGGATTCGAATGGAATGGTCTCAAACAGAATGGAATAGAAAGAAATGGTCTCAAATGGAATCTATTCGAATAGAATGGAATCGAAAGGAATGCAATAGTATGGAATGGAATCAAATGGAATGGAATCGAATGGAATGGTCAGAATGGAACAAACTGGAATAGAACGAACTCGAATGTAATGAATTGCAATGTAATTGATTCGAATGGAATGGAATCGAATGGAATGTAATCAAATGGAATGGAATGCAATGGAACGGAACGGAGTGGAATCAAGTGGAATGGAATCGAATGGAATGGTATCCAATGGAAAGGACTGGAATGCAGAGGACTCGAATGGACTGGAACAAAATGGAATTGAATGGATTACAATCAAAAGGAAGGGAATGGAATGGAATGTAATAGAGTGGAATAGACTCGAATGGAATGGATGCGAATGGAATGGAATCGATTGGAATGGAATCAAATGGAATGGAATTGAATGGAAATGAAACGAATAGAATGGAATGGAGTGTAATGGAAATATATCGAATGGAATGGAATGGACTCGAATGGAATGGACTGGAATGAAGTGGTCTAGAATGGATTGGACTGGAGTGGAATGGACTCGAATGGAATGGAAATGAATGGAAGGGAATGGAATGCAACGGAATGGAATGGAAAGGAATAGAATGGAATGGAATCAGATGTAATGGAATGGAAGGGAATGGAGTCGAATGGAATAGAATCGAATGGAATGGCATTGATTGGAATGCAATGGATTGGACACGAATGGAATGGACTGAAATGGAATGAACTCAAATGGAATGGACTGCAGTGAAGAGGACTCGAATGAAATGGAAAAGAATGGAATGGAATGGAATGGAATGGAAAGGAATAGAATGGAATGGAATCGGATGGAACGGAATCGAGTTGAAAGGAATAGAATCCAATGGAATGGCACCGAATGGAATGGAATGGCATGGAATGGAATGGACTCGAATAGAATGGACTCGAATGTAATAGAATTGAATGTAATGGCATCAAATGGAATGGAATGGAATGGAATAGAATGGAATGGAATGGACCCAAATGAAATGGACTCGCATGGAATGGACTCAAATAGAATGGACTTGAAAGGAATGGTCTCGAATGGAATTTATTCAAATAGAATGGAAGCGATTGGAATGCAATAGTATGGAATGGAATCAAATGGAATGCAATCGAATGGAATGGACCAGAATGGAATGGACTGGAATAGAACAGACTAGAATTTAATGGATTAAAATGTAATTGATTCAAATGGAATGGAATCAAATGGAATGTAATCAAATGGAATGGAATGGAATGCAATGGAATGGAATGGAATAGAATGGAAGGCTATGGAATGGAACGGAGTGGAATCGAGTGGAATGGAATAGAACGGAGGGGAATGGTTTGGAATGGAATTGAATGGAATGGACTTGAATGGAATGGACTGGAATGCAATGGACTTGAATTGAATAGACTGGAACAAAATGGAATCGAACGGATTGGAATCGAACAGAACAAAATGGAATGGAATGGAGTGGAATGGAATGGAATAAAATGGAGTCGAATGGAAGGGAATCGAATGGAATGGACTGGAATGGAATGGACTGGAATGGAATGGACTCGAATGGAATGGACTGCAGTGGAATGGCCTCAAAAGGAAAGGAAACCAATGGAATGGAATGGACTGCAGTGGAATGGACTCGAAAGGAATGGAAACCAATGGAATGCAATGGAATGGAATATGATGGAATGGAATCGGACTCAAAGGAATGGAATGGAATGGAGTTGAAAGGAGTAGTATCTGATGGAATGTCATCGAATGGAATGGAATGGAATAAAATGGACTCGCATATAATGGACTCGAGTGGAATAGAATCGAGTGTAATGGCATCGAATGGAATGGAATGGAGTGGAATGGAATAGAATGGAATGGAATGGACCCAAATGTAATGGACACAAAAGGAATGGACTCAAATAGAATGGACTTGAAAGGAATGGTCTCGAATGGAATTTATTCGAATAGAATGGAATCGAATGGAATACAATAGTATGGAATGTAATCGAATGGAATGGCATCGAATGGAATGGAAAGGAATGGAATGCAATGGAATCGAATGGAATACAATAGTATGGAATGTAATCGAATGGAATGGCATCGAATGGAATGGAAAGGAATGGAATGCAATGGAATCGAATGGAATGGACCCAAATGTAATGGACTTGAATGGAATGGACTCAAATAGAATGGACGGAAAAGGAATGGTCTCGAATATAATTTATTCAAATAGAATGGAATAGAAAGTAATTCAATATTATGGAATGGAATAGAATGGAATGAAACCGAATGGAATGTACCGGAATGGATTGGATTGGAATAGAATGTACTGGAATGTAACGGATAGAAAAGTAATTGATTCGAATGCCTTGGAATCGAACGGAATGAAATCAAAAGAAATGGAAAGGAATACAATGGAACGGAATAGAATAGAATGCAATAGAATGGAACGTAGTGGAATCGAGTGGAATGGAATCGAATGGAATGGAATCAAATGGAATGGAGTCAAACGCAATGGACTGGAATGGAATGGACTCGAATGGAATGGACTGGAACAAAATGGAATTGAACCGATTGGAATCGAATGGAACGGAATGGAAGGGAACGTAGCGTAATGTAATGGAATGGAATGGACTACAAAGGAATGGAGTCGAATGTAATGGAGTCGAACGGAATGAAATCAATTGGAATGGAATCGAATGGAATGGAATTGAATAGAATCAAAAGAAAAAGAATGGAATGGAGTGTAATGGAAAGATATCGAATAGAATGGAATAGACTTGAAAGGAATGGACTGGAATGCATTGGACACGAATGGAATGGACTGGAGTGGAATGGACTCGAATGGAATGGAAACAAATGGAATGGAATGGAAAGGAATAGAATGGAATGGTATCGCATGGAACGGAATGGAATGGAATGGAGTTGAATGGAATTGAAACCAATGGAATGGCGTCGAATGGAATGGAATGGAAAGGAATGAAAGGACTCAAATGGAATGGACTCAAAAGGAATAGAATCGAATGGAATGGCATTGAAAGGAATGGAATGAAATGGAATAGAATGGAATGGAATGGACCCAAATGTAATGGACTGGAATGGATTGGACTCAAATACAATGGACTGGAAAGGAATGGTCTCGAATGGAATTTATTCAAATAGAATGGAATCGAATGGAATGCAATAGTATGGAATGCAATCAAACTGAATGGAATCGAATGGAATGAACTGGAATGGAATGGACAGGTATACAGTGGACTCGAATGTAATGGATTGCAATGTAATTGATTCAAATGGAATGGAATCGAATGGAATGTAATCAAATGGATTGGAATGGAATGCAATGGAATGGAATAGAATGGAATGCAATGGAATGGAATAGAATGGAATGCAATTGAATGGAGCGGAGTGGAATCGAGTGGAATGAAATCGAATGGAATGGAATGGAAAGCAATCATATGGAATAGACTGTAATGGAATGGACTCGAATGGAATGGAATGGAAAATATGGAATCGAACGGATTGGAATCGAACAGAATGGAACGAAATGGAATAGACTAGAATAGAAGAGACACGAATGTAATGGACTGCAATCTAATTCATTCGAATGGAATGGGATCGAATGGAATGTATTAAAATGGATTGGAATCAAATGCAATGGAATGGAATAGAATGGAATGCAATGGAATGGAACGGATTGGAATCGAATGGAATTGAATCGAATGGAATGGAATCCAACGGAATGGAATCGATTGGACTGGAAATGGACTGGAGTGGAATGGACGCAAAAGGAATGGAAACGAATGGAATGGAATGGAAAGGAACAGAATGGCATGGAATCAGATGGAACGGAATGGAATGGAATGGAGTCGAATGGAATAAAATCCATTGGAATGACATCGAATGGAATGGAGTGGAATGGAATGGAATGGAAAGTACTCAAATGGAATGGAAAGTACTCGAATGGAATGGACTCGAATGGAATAGAATTGAATGGAATGGCATCAAACTGAATGGAATGGAATGGAATGGACCCAAATGTAATGGACACAAATGGAATGGACTCAAATAGAATGGACTAGAATGGAATGGTCTCAAATGGAATTTATTCGAATAGAATGGAATCGAATGGAATGCAATAGTATGGAATGGAATTGAATGCAAAGGAATCAAATGGAATGAATTGGAATGGAATGGACTGGAATACAACGGACTCAAATGTAATGGACTGCAAAGTAATTGATACGAATAGAATGGTATAGAATGGAATGTAATCAAATGGAATGCAATGGAATGCAACGGAATGGAATAGAATGGAATGCAATGGAATGGAACGGAGTCAAATCGAGTGGAATGGAATCGTATGGAATGGAATCGTTTGGAATGCACTGGAACGGAATGTATTAGAATGGAATGGACTGGAAAAAAATGGAATCAAAGGGATTGGAATCGAATGGCATGGAATAGAATGGAATGGAATGCAATGGACTCGAATGGAATGGAGTTGAATGGAATGGACTCAAATGGAATGGACTGGAATGGAATGGAATCGAGTGGAATGGATGGAGTGGAATCGAATTGAATGGAATGGAAACAAATGGATTGGAAAGGAATGGAATGGAAAGGAATAAAATAGAATGGAATCAGATGGAATGGATTGGAATAGAATGGAGTCAAATGGAATAGAATCGAATGCAATGGCATGGAATGGAATGGACTCGAAAAGAATGGGCACGAATGGTACAGAATCTAATGGAATGGCAAGGAATGGAATGGAATGGAATGGAATGGACCCAAATGTAATGGAGTCAAACGGAATGGACTCAAATAGAATGGACTCGAAAGCAATGGTCTCGAATGTTATTTATTCGAATGGAAAGGAATCGAATGGAATGCAATAGTATGGAATGGAATCTAATGGAATGGAATTGAATGGAATGGACCGGAATGGAAAGGAGTGGAATAAAACGGACTCGAATATAATGGATTACAATGTAATTGATTTGAATGGAATAGAATCGAATGAAATGAAATGGAAAAGAATGGAATGGAATGGAAAGGAATAGAATGGAATGGAATCGGATGGAACGAAATGGAATGGAATGGTGTCGAATGGAATAGAATTGAAAGGAATGGCATCAAATGGAATGAAATGGAATGGAATGGACTCAAATGAAATGGACTCGAATGTAATAGAATAGAATGGAATGGCATTGAATGGAATGGAATGGAACCAAATGTAATGGACGTGAATGGAATGGAATCTAATAGAATGGACTCGAAATAAATGGTCTCCAATGGAATATATTCGTGTAGAATGGAATAGAATGGAATGCAATAGTATGGAATGGAATTGAATGGAATGGAACCGAATGGAACGGACCGGAATGGAATGGACTGGAATAGAATGGACTCGAATGTAATGGATTGCAAATTAATAGATTTGAATGGAATGGAATCGAAAGGAATGTAATCAAATGGAATGGAATGGAATGCAATGGAATGGAATAGAATGGAATGCAACGAAATGGAATAGAATGGAATTCAATGGAAAAAACGCATTGGAATGGGGAGAAATGGAATCGAAATGAATGGAATAGAAAGGAATGGAATCGAATGGAATGGACTGGAATGTAATGGACACCAATGGAATGGACTGGAACAAAATTGAATAAAACGAATTGGAATAGAACCATAAGGAATGGAATGGAATGGAATGGTATGGAGTAGAATGGAGCGGAGTCGAATGGAATGGAAATGAAAGCAGTGGAATTGAATGGAATCAAAAGGATTAGAACAGAATGGAGTGAAAAGGAAAGATATCGAATGTAATGGAATGGAATAGAATGGACTCGAATGGACTGGACTGGAATGGAAAGGACTCAAATGGAATGGACTGGAGTGGAATGGACTCGAATGGAATGGAAATGAAAGGAATGGAATGGAATGAAATCAGATGGAAAAGAATGGAATGGAATGGAGTCGAATGGAATAGAATCGAATGCAATGGCATCAAATGGAATGGAATCGAATGGAAGGGACTTGAATGGAATAGAATCGAATGGAATGGCATCGAATGGAATGGAATGGAATGGAATGGACCCAAAAGAAGTGTACTCGAATAGAATGGACTCAAATAGAATGGACTCAAGAGGAATGGTTTCGAATGGAATTTATTCGAACAGAATGGAATCGAATGGAATTCAATAGTATGGAATGGAATCGAATGGAATGGAATCGAATGGAATGGACAGGAATTGAATGGACTGGAATAGAGCAGACACAAATGTAATGGATTGCAATGTAATTGATTCGAGTGGAATGGAATCGAATGGAATGTAATCAAATGGAATGGAATGGAATGCAATGGAATGGAATAGAATGGAATGGAATATAGTGGAATGCAATGGAATGGAACGAAGTGGAATCGAATGGAATGGAATCGAAGGAAATGGAATCCAATGGAATGGAATCGAATGGAATGGACTGAAATGGAATGGACTGAAATGTAATGGACTGGAACAGATTGGAATCGAAAGGATTGTAATCAAACGGAACAGAATGGAATGGAATGGAAGAGAATGGACTCGAAGGGAACGGAGTCAAATGGAATGGAATTGAATGGAATGGAATTGAATGGAATTGAAAGGAATAGAGTGGAATGCAGTGTCATGGAAAGATATCGAATGGAATGGACTCGAATCGAAGGGACTGGAATGGAGTGGACTCGAATAGAATGCATTGGAGTGGAATGGACTCAAATGGAATGGAAACGAATGTAATGTAATGTAATGTAATGTAATGTAATGTAATGTAATGTAATGGAATAGAATGGAATGAAATCGGATGGAAAGGAATGGAAAAGAATGGAATCGAAGGGAATAGAGTGGAATGGAATGGAATGGAATGGAATCAGATGGAATGGAGTGGAAAAGAATGGACTTGAAAGGAATAGAACAGAATGGAATGGCATCGAATGGAATGGAATGGAATGGACTCGATTGGAATGGAGTCGAGTGGAATGGAATAGAATGGATTGGAATCGAATAGAAAGGAATTGAATGGAATTGAAAGGAATAGAATGGAATGGAGTGTAATGGAAAGATATCGTATGGAATGGAATGCAATGGACTCCAAGGGAATGGACTGGAATGGATCGGACTTGTAAGGAAAGGACTGGAATGGAATGGACTCACATGGAATGGAAACGAATGCAATGGAATGAAATGGAATGGAATGGAATGGAATAGAATGGAATCGAGTCGGATGGAATGGAATGGATTGGAATGGAGTAGAATGGAATAAATTCGAATGCAAACGCATTGAATGGAATGGAATGGACTAAATTGGAATGGACTCGAATGGAATACAGTGGAATGGAATGGCATGGCATCAAATGGAATGGATTGGAAAGGAACCAAATGTAATGGACTTGAAAGGAATGGACTCAACTAGAACGGACTCGAAAGCAATGGTCTCAGATCGAATTTATTCGAATAGAATGGAATCGAATGAATGCAATAGTGGGGAATGGAATTGAAAGGTATGGAATCGAATGGAATGGATCGGAATGGAATGGACTGGAATGCAAAGGACTGGAATGTCATGGATTGCAACGTAATTGATTTGAATGTAATTGAATTGAAAGGAAAGTAATCAAATGGAATGGAATGGAATGCAATGGAATGGAAAAGAATGAAATGCAGTGAAATGGAATGGAGTGGAATTGAGTGGAATGGAATCGAATGGAATGGACTAGAATGGAATGGACTCGAATGGAATGGACTGGAAAAAATGGCATCGTACGGAATGGAACAGAATGGAATGGAGTGGAATGGAGTGGAATGGAATGGAATGGACTCGAATGGAATGGAGTCGAACGGAATGGAATCGAATGGAATGGAATCGAACGGAAAGGAATTGAATGGAATTGAAAGGAATAGAATGGAATGGAGTGTAATGGAAAGATATCGAATGGAATGGAAAGGAATGGAATGGACTCGAATGGAATGGACTGGAACGGAATGGACTCGAATGGAATGGACTGGAGTGGAATGGACTCGAATCGAATGGAAACAAATGGAATGGAAAGAATAGGAATGGAATGGAACGGAAATGAATAGAATGGAATGCAAGTGTATGGAACGGAATGGAATGGAGTCGAATGGAATAGAATCAAATGGAATGGCATGGAATGGAATGGAATGAAATGGAATAGAATGGAATGGAATGAAATGGACTCGAATGGAATTGAATTGAATGGAATGGCATTGAATGGAATGGAAAGGAATGGAACGGAATGGAAAGGAATAGAATGGAATGGAATATGATGGAACGGAGTGGAATGGAATGGAGTCGAATGGAAAAGAATCCATTGGAATGACATCAAATGGAATGGAATGGACTCGAATGGAATGGACTTGAATGGAATAGAATTGAATGGAATCGCATCGAATGGAATGGAATGGAATGGTTTGAAATGGATTGGACTCCAATGCAATGCACTCGAATGGAATAGATTCGAATAGAAAGGCATCGAATGGAATGGATATGAATGTTATGGAATGGACCCAAACGTAATGGACTCGAAGGAAATGCACTCAAACAGAATGGAATCAAAAGGAATGGTCTCGAATGGAATTTATTTGAATAGAATGGAATCGAATCGAATGCAATACTATGGAATGGAATTGAATGGAATGGAATCGAATGGAATGGACCAGAATGGAATGGACTGGAATAGAACGGACAGGAATGCAATGGATTGCAATGTAATAGATTCAAATGCAATGGAATCGAATGGAATGTAATTGAATAGAATGGAATGGAATGCAATGAAATGGAATAGAATGGAATGCCATGGAATGGAACAGAGTGGAATCGAGTGCAGTGGAATCGAATGGAATGGAATCGATTGGAATGGAATGGAATGGAATGGACTGGAATGGAATGAACTGGAACAAAATGGAATCAAACGGATTGGAATCGAACGAAACGGAATGGAATGGCCTCGAATAGAATGGAGTCGAATGGAATGGAATCAAATGGAATGGAATCGAATGGAATGGAATTGAAAGGAATTGAAAGGAATAGAATAAAATGGAGTGTAATGGAAAGATATCAAATGCAATGGAATGGAATGGAATCCAATGGAATGGACTGGAATGGAATGTATTCGATTGGAATGGACTGGAGTGCAATGTACTCGAATGGAATGTTAACGAATGGAATGGAATGGAATGGAAATGAACAGAATGGAATGGAATCGGATGGAACGGAATGGAATGGAGTGGAGTCGAATGGAATAGAATCGAATGGAATGGCATCAAATAGAATTAAATGGAATGGACTAGAAAGGAATGGACTCGAAGGGAATAGAATAGAATGGAATTGCATCAAATGGAATGGAATGGAATGGATTGGAATGGAATGGAATGGACCCAAATGTAATGGACTCATATGGAATGGACTCAAATAGAATTGCCTTGGAAGGAATGGTCTCGAATGGAATTTATTCCAATGGAATGGAATCGAATGTAATGCAATAATAGGGAATGGAATCGAATGGAATGGAATTGAATGGAAAGGACCGGAATGGAACGGACTGAAATAGAATGGACTCGAATGTAATGGATTTCATTGTAATAGATTCGAATGGAATGGATCCTATGGAATGTAATCAAATGGAATTGAATGGAATGCAATGGAATGGAACAGAATGGAATGCAATGGAATGGAACAGAATGGAATGCAATGGAATGGAACAGAGTGGAATTGAGAGGAATGGAATCGAATGGAATGGACTGGAATGGAATGGACTGGAATGAAATGGATGGGAACAAAATGGAATCGAACGGAATGTAATGTAATGTAATGGAATGGAATGCAATGCAATGGAATGGACTCGAATGGAATGGAGTCGAATGGAATGGAAATGATTGGAATGGAATTCAATGGAATCAAAATGAATACAATGGAATGGAGAGTAATGGAAAGATATCCAATGGAATGGAATGGACTCAAAGGGAATGGACTGGAATGAAACGGACTCGAATGGAATGGACTGGAGTGGAATGGATTGGAATGGAATGGAAACTAATGGAATGGAATGGAATGGAATGGAAAGAATAGAATTGAATGGAATCGGATGGAACGGAATGGTATGGAATGGAGTTGACTGGAATAGATTCGAATGGAATGTTATTGAATGGAATGGAATGCACTCAAATGGAATGGAAACAAATGGAATGCAATAGAATGAAATGGAAAGGAATAGAATGGAATGGAATCGGATGGAATGGAATGGAGTTGAATGGAATAGAATCAAATGGAACGGCATCATTTCGAATGGAATGGAATGGAATGGACTCGAATGGAATAGAATTGAATGGAATTGCTTCGAATGGAATGGAATGGAATGGACCCAAATGTAATGGACTCAAATGGAATGAACTCAAATAGAATGCACTAGAAAGGAAGGGTCTCGAATGGAATTTATTCAAATAGAATGCAATCGAATGGAATGCAAAAGTATGGCATGGAATTGAATGGAACGGAATCATATGGAATGGACCGGAATGGAATGGACTGAAATAGAACGGACTCGGATGTAATGGATTGCAATGTAATTTATTCGAATGGAATGGAATAGAATGGAATATAATCAAATGGAATGGAGTGGAATGCAATGGAATGGAATAGAATGGAATATAATCAAATGGAATGGAGTGGAATGCAATGGAATGGAATAGAATGGAATGCAATGGAATGGAACGGAGTTTAATTGAGTGGAATAGAATCAAATGAAATGGAATCGAATGGAATGGAATTGAAAGGAATGTAAAGGAATGGAATGGACTCCAATGGAATGGAATGGAACAAAATGGAATCGAACGGATTGATATAGAAAGGAACGGAATGGAATGGAAGAGAATGGACTCGAATGGAATGGAGTCGAATGGAATGGAACTGAATCTAATGCAATTGAATGGAGTCAAAAGGAATAGAATGGAATGCAGTGTAATGAAAACATATCAAATGGAATGGAATGGAATGGACTCGAATGGAATGGACTGGAATGGAGGGGAATCGAATGGAATGGACTGGAGTGGAATGGACTCGAATGGAATGGAAACAAATAGAATGTAATGGAAAGGAATAGAATGGAATGGAATCGGATGGAACGGAATGGAATTGAATGGAGTCCAATGGAATAAAATCGAATGGAATGGCATCGAATTTAATGGAATGGAATGGAATGGACTCGAATGGAATTGACTCGAATGGAATAGAATAGAATGGAATGGCATCAAATGGAATGGAATGGAAAGGAATGGAATGGAATGGACCAAAATGTAATGGACTCGAATGGAATGGACTCAAATAGAATGGACTCGAAAGGAATGGTCTGGAATGGAATTTATTCGAACAGAATGGAATTCAATGGAAAGCAATAGTATGGAATGGAATTGAATGGCATGGAATCGAATGGAATGGACTGGAATGGATTGGACTGGGATAGAACGGACTCGAATGTAATGGATTGCAATGTAATAGAATCAAATGGAATGGGATCGAACAGAATGTAATCAAATGTAACAGAATCGAATGCCATGGAATGGAATAGAATGGAACACAATGGAATGGAATAGAATGGAATGCAATGGAATGGAATGGAGTGGAATCGAGTGGAATGGAATCAAATGGAACGGAATGGAATGGAATGGAATGGACTCGAATGGAATGGACTGGAACAAACTGGAATTGAACGGATTGGAATCTAACGGAGCGGAATGGAATGGAATGGACTCGATTGGAATGGAACCGAATGGAATGGAATCGAATAGAATGGAATTGAATGGAATTGAAAAAAATAGAATGGAATGGAGTGTACTGGAAAGAAATCCAATGGAATGGAATGGTCTCGAATGGAATGGACTAGAATGGAATTGACACCGATGGAATGGACTGGAGTGGAATGGACAGGAATGGAATAGAAACGAATGGAATGGTATGGAATAGATTGGAGTGGAAGAGAGTGGAATGGAATCTGACGGAATTGAATGGAATGGAATGGAGTCGAATGGAATGGAATCGAGTGGAATGGCATCGAATGGAATAGACTCGAATGGAAAGGACTCCCATGGAATGGACTCGAATGGAATAGAATGGAATTGAATGGCTTCGAATGAAATGGAACGGAGTGGAATGGAATGGAATGGACTCGAATGGAATGGACTCGAATGGAATAGAATGGAATGGAATGGCATCGAATGGAATGGAATGGAAAGGACCCAAATGTAATGGAATCGAATGGAATGGACTCAAATAGAATGGACTCGATAGAATGGTCTCGAATGGAATTTATTTGAATTGAATGCAATCGAATGGAATGCAACAGTATGGAATGGAATTGAATGGAATGGAGTCAAATGGAATGGACTCGAATGCAATTGAGTGGAATGGCCTGGACTCCAATGGATTGGACTGGAGTGGATTGGACTCGAATGGAATGGAAACGAATTGAATGGACGGGAATGCAATGGAATGGAATTGAAAGTAATAGAATGGAATGGAATCAGATAGAATGGAATGGAAGGGAATGGAGTCGAATGCAATATAATCAAATTGAATGGCATCGAATGGTATGGAATGGAACGGACTCGAATGGATTGGACTCAAATGGAATGGCATCGAATGGAATGGAACGGAATGGAAGGGAATGGAATGGAATGGACCCAAATGTAAAGAACTTGAATCGAATGGACTCAAATAGCATGGACTCAAAAGCAATGGTCTTGAGTGGAATTTATTCAAATAGAATGGATTCGAATGGAATGCAATAGTATGGAATGGAATCGAATGGAATGGAGCAGAATGGAATAGACTGGAATAGAAAGGACTCGAATGTAATGTATTGCAACGTTATTGATTTGAATGGAATGTAATCAAAAGTAATGTAAACAAATGGAACGGAGTAGAAGGCAATTGAATGGAGTAGAAAGGAATGCAATGGAATGGAGTGTAGTGGAATCGAGTGGAAGGGAATCAAATGGAATGGAATTGAATGGAATGAACTGGAATGGAATGGACAGGAATGGAATGGACTGGAAAAAAATGGAATCGAACGGATTGGAATCGAAAAGAATGCAATGGAATGGAGTGGACTGGAATCGAATGCAATGGAGTAGAATGGAATGGAACCGAATGGAATGGAATCGAATGGAATGGAATTGAATGGAATGGAAAGGAACAGAATGGAAAGGAGTGTAATGGAAAGATATCGAATGGAATGGAATGGAATGGACTCGAATGGAATGAACTGGAAAGGAATGGACTTGAAAGGAATGGACTGTAGTGGAATGGACTCGAAAGGAATGGAATGGAAAGGAAAGGAATGGAATGGAATGGAAAGGAAAGGAATAGAATGGAATGGAATTGGATGGAACGGAAAGGCATGGATTGGAGTCAATTGGAATAGAATCGAATGGAATGGCATTGAATGGAATGGAATGGAATGTACTTGAATGGAATGGAATCGAGCGGAATAGAAGAGAAGGGAATGGCATCGAATGGAATGGAATGGAATGGAATGAAATGCACCCAAATGTAATGGACTCGAATGGAATATACTCAAATAGAATGGACTCAAAAGGAATGGTGTCAAACGGAATTTATTCGAATAGAATGTATTTGAACGGAATGCAATAGCATGGAATGGAATCGAATGGAATGGATTTAAATGGAATTGACCGGAATGGAATGGACTGGAATAGAACGGACTCGAATAAAATGGTTTGCAATGTAAATGATTTGAATGTAATGGATTCAAATGGAATGTAATCAAATGGAATGGAATGGTATGCAATGAAATGGAATAGAATGGAATGCAATAAAATGGAACAAATGGAATAAAGTGGAATGGAATAGAATGGAATGGAATCGAATGGAATGGAATCAAATGGAACGGACTGGAATGGAATGGACTCGAATGGAATGGATTGGAACAAAATGGAATTGAACAGATTGGAATTGACGGAATGGAATGGAATGGAATCGAATGGAATGGAATTGAATGAAATCAAAAGGAAAAGAATGCTATGGAGTGTAATGGAAAGATATTGAATGGAATGGAATAGAATGGAATGGACTCGAATGGAATGGAGTCGAATGGAATGGAATAAAACGGAATGGAATCGAATGGAATGGATTTGAATAGACTCGAAAGGAATAGAATGGAATGGAGTTTAATGGAAAGATATCAAATGGAAAGGAATGGAATGCAATGGACTCGAATGGAATAGAAAGCACTGGAATGGACCCGAATGGAATGGAAAGGAATGGAATGGAATGGAAAGTAATAAAATGGAATGGAGTCAGATGGAACGGAATGGAATGGAATGGAGTCGAATGGAATAGAATCGAAAGGAATGGCATCATATGGAATGGAATGGAATGGACTCGAATGGAATAGAATCGAATAGAATGGTATGGAATGGAATGGAATGGAATGGACACAAATGTAAAGTACTCGAATGGAATGGACTCAAATAGAATGGACTCGAAAGAAATGGTTGGAAATGGAATCTATTAGAATAGAACGGAATCGAATGGAAAGTAATAGTATGGAATGTAATCAAATGGAATGGAATAGATTGGAATGGACTGGAATGGAATTTACTGGAATAGAATGGACACGAATGTAGTGGATTGCAATGTAATTGATTCTAATGGAATGGAATCGAATGCAATGGAATCGAATGGAATGGACGGGAATGGAATGGACTTGAATAGAACGGACTCGAATGTAATGTATTCCGATGTATTTGATTCGAATGGAATGGAGTCAAATGGAATTTAGTCAAATGGAATGGAATGCAATGGATTGGAGTGGAATGGACAGGAATGGAATGGCCTCGAATGGAATGGACATGAATGGAATGGCATCGAGTGGAATGGAATGGAATGGAACGGAACGGAATGGAATGGATTGGAATGGACCCAAATGTAATGCTCTCGAATGGAATGGACTCAAATAGAGTGGACTCGAAAGAAATGGTCTCGAATGGAATCTATTCAACTAGAATGGAATCTATTCAACTAGAATGGAATAGAAAGGAATACAATAGTATGGAAGGGAATCGAATGGAATGAAATCGAATGGAATGGACCAGAATGGAATGGACTGGAAAAGAACGGACTCTAATGAAATGGATTGCAATGTAATTGATTTGAAAGAATTGGAATCAAATGGAATGGAATCAAATGGAATGGACCAGAATGGAAAGGAGTGGAATACAATGGACTCGAATGTAGTGGATTGCAATTTAATTGATTCGAAAGGAATGGAATCGGATGGAATTTAATCAAGTGGAATGGAATGGAATGCAATGGAATCAACTAAAATGGAATGCAATGGAATGGAACAGATTGGAAACGACTGCAATGGAAACGAATGGAACGGAATCGAATGGAATGGAATCTAACGGTATGGACTGGAATGGAAAGGGCTCGAATGGAATGGAGTAGCATGGAATGGAATCGAATGGAACGGAATCAAATGGAATTTAATTGAATGTAAATGAAAGGAATATAGAGGAATGGAGTTTAATGGAAAGATATCGAATGGAATGGAATGGAAAGGAATAGACTCGAATGGAATGGAATGGATTCGAATGCAATGGATTGGAGTAGAATGCACTCGAATGGAATGGAAATGAATGGAATGGAAAGGAATGCAATGGAATGGAATCGGATGGAATGGAATGTAAAGGAATGGAGTCGAATGGAATAGAATAGAATGGAATGGCATCAAAAGGAATGGAATGGAATGGACTCAAATGGAGTGGACTCGAATGGAATAGAATCGAATGGAATCGCATCGAATGGAATGGAATGGAACCCAGTGGAATGGAATGGACCCGAATGTAACGGAATCGAGTGGAATGGACTAAAATAGAATGGACTCGAAAGAAATGGTCTGAAATGGAATCTATTCGAATAGAATGGAATTGAATGGAATGCACTAGTATGGAACGGAATCAAATTGAATGGAATTGATTGGAATGGACTGGAATGGAATGGACTGGAATAGAAAGGACATGAATGTAGTGGATTGCAATGTAACTGATTAAAATGGAATGGAATAGAATGGAATGGAATCAAATGAAATGGACGGGAATGGAATGGACTTGAATAGAACGGACTCGAATGTAATGTATTGCAATGTAATTGATTCGAATGGAATGGAATCGGATGGAATTTAATCAAATGGAATGGAATGGAATGCAATGGACTGGAATAGAATGGAATGCAATGGAATGGAATGGACTGGAATCGAGTGGAATGGAATTGAATGGAATGGAAGCGAATGCAATGGAATCAAATGGAATGGATTGGAATGGAATGGACTCAAATGGAATGGACTAGAATAAAAAGGAATCGAACGGATTGGAATCGAACGGAATGGAATGGAATGGAATGGAATGCACTCGAATGGAATGGAATCAAATGGAATTGAATAGATTGTAATGGAATCAAATGGAATGGAATTGAATGGAAACGAAAGGAATTGAATGGAAACGAAAGGAATAGAATGGAATGGAGTGTAAAAGACAGATATCATATGGAATGGAATGGAATGGACTCGAATGGAATGGACTGGAATGGAATGGTCTCGAATTGAATGGACAGGAGTGGAATGGACTCAAATGGAAAGGAAACGAATGGAATGGAATGGAATGCAATGGAATGGAAAGGAATAGAATGGAATGGAATCGGATGGAATGGAATGGAAGGGAATGGAGACGAATGGAATGGAATCGAACGGAATGGCTTCGAATCGAATGGAATGGACTCGAATGGAATGGATTCGAATGGAATAGAATCAAATGGAATGGTATTGAATGGAATCGAATGGAAAGGAATGGAATAGATTCAAATGTAATGGACTCGAATTTAAAGGACTCAAATAGAATGGACTCGAAAGGAATGGTCAGGAATGGAATTTATTCGAACAGAATGGAATTGAATGGAAAGCAATAGTATGGAATGGAATCGAATGGAATGGAATAGAAATGGAATTGACCGGAATGGAATGGAGTGGAATAGAAAGGACTTGAATGCAATGGATTGCAATGTAATAGATTCAAATGGAATGGGATCGAATGGAATGTAATCAAATGCAAGAGAATCAAATGCCATGGAATGCAATAGAATGGAACACAATGCAATGGAATAGAAGGGAATGCACTGGAATGGAACGGAGTGGAATCGAGTGGAGTGGAATCGAGTGGAATGGAATCGAATGGAATGGAATCAAATGTAATAGAATCGAATGGAATGGACTG
The DNA here is from genome assembly GCF_000001405.40 of Homo sapiens. NCBI lineage: Eukaryota > Metazoa > Chordata > Mammalia > Primates > Hominidae > Homo > Homo sapiens. Next base: position 21,893,193 of record NC_000017.11, read on the forward strand.
GAATGGGATGGTCTCGAATGGAATGGACTGGAACAAAATGGAATCAAACGGATAGGAATGGAATGGAATGGAATGGAATGGACTCGAATGGAATGGAGTCGAAAGGAATTGAATAGAACGTAATGGAATCAAATGGAATGGAATTGAATGGAGACGAAAGGAATAGAATGGAATGGAGTGTAATGGACAGATATCGTATGGAATGAAAGGGAATGGACTCGAATGGAATGGTCTGGAGTGGAATGGACTGGAACAGAATGGACAGAAGTCGAATGGACTCGAATGGAATGGAAACAAATGGAATGGAATGGAATGGAATGGAATGCAAAGGAATAGAAGGCAATGGAAACAGATATAACGAAATGGAGTGGAATGGAGTGGAATTGGAATAGAATCCAATGGAATGGCATCAAGTGGAATGGAATGGAATGGAATGGAATGGATTCGAAAGGAATGGAATGGAATGGATTCGAATGGAATGGACTTGAATGGAATAGAATGGAATGGAATGGCATTGAATGGAATGGAACGGAATGGAATGGATCCAAATGTAATGGACTCGAATGGAATGGAAACGAATAGAATGGACTCGAAAGAAATGGCCTCGAATGGAATTTATTCGAATAGAATGGAATCGAATGGAATGAAATAGTATGGAATGGAATAGAATGGAATGGAATGGAATGGAATGCACCAGAATGGAATGGACTGGAAGAAAACGGACTCGAATGTAATGGATTGCAATGTAATCGATTCGAATGGAATGGAATGGAATGTAATGGAATAGAATTGAATGGACTGGAATGGAATGGACTGGAACAGAATGGTCTCGAATGTAAGAGATTGCAATGTAATTGGCTTGAATGGAATGGAATCAAATGGAATGTAATCCAATGGAATGAATGGAATTGAATGCAATGGAATGGAATAGAATGGAATGGAATGCAATGGAATGGAACGGAGTGGAATCGAGTGGAATGGAATCGAATGGCATGGATTTGAAAGGAATGGAATCGAATGGAATGGATTGGAATGGAATGCACTCGAATGGAATGGACTGAAAAATAATGGAATCAAAGAGTTTGGAATTGAATGGAACGGAAAGCAATGGAATGGAAGGGACTGGAATGGAAAGGAGTCAAGTGTAATGGAATTGAATGGAGTGGAATCAAATAGAATGGGATTGAATGGAATCAAAAGGAATAGAAAGGAATGGAGTGTAATGGAAAGATAACGAAAGGAATGGAATGGAATGGAATGGACTGGAATGGAATGGACTCGTATGGAATGGACTGGAGAGGAATGGACTCGAATGAATGGAAAAGAATGGAATGGAATGGAATGGAATGGAATGGAATGGAATAGAATGGCATGGAATGGGATAGAATGGAATGGAACGAAATGGAGTGGAATGGAGGCAAATGGAATAGAATCAAATGGAATGGCATTGAATGGAGTGGAATGGAATGGAATGGATCCAAATGTTATGGACTCGAATGGAATGGACTCAAATAGAATGGACTAAAAAGGAATGGTCTCGAATGGAATTTATTCGAATAGAATGGAATCAAACGGAATGCAATAGAATGGAATGGAATCGAATTGAATGGATTTGAATAGAATGGACAGGAATGGAATGGACTGGAATAGAATGGACTCGAATGTAATGGATTGAAATCTAATTGATTTGAATGGAATGGAATCGAATGGAATGTAATCAAAAGGAATGGAATGGAATGCAATGGACAGGAATAGAATGGAATGCAATGGAATCTAACAGATTGGAATCGAGTGGAATGGAATCGAATGGAATGGAATCGAATGGAATGGAGTCGAATGGAACGGACTGGAACAAAATGGAATCGAACGGAATGGACTGGAACAAAATCGAATCGAAAGGATAGGAATCGAACTGAAAGGAATGGAATGGAATGGAATGGAACAGAATCTAAAGGAATGGAGTCGAATGGAATGGAATCAAATGGAATGGAATTAAATGGAATGGAATTGAATGGAATCAAAAGGAATAGAATGGAAAGGAGTGTAATGGAAAGATATCAAATGGAATGGATTGGAATGGAATGGAGTCGAATGGAATGGATAGGAATGGAATGGACTAGTTGGAATGGAATGGAGGCGAATGGACACTAATGGACTGGAAACGAATGGAATGGAATGGAATGCAATGGAATAGAATGGAAAGGAATGGAATGGAATGGAATCGGATGGAATGGAAGAGAATGGAGTGGAAAGCAATAGAATCAAATGGAATGGCATCGAATATTATGGAATGGAATGGACTTGAATGTAATGTAATGTAATGGAATGGAATGGTCCCAAACGTAATGGACTCGAATGAAATGGACTCAAATAGATTGGAATCGAAAGCAATGGTCTCGAATGGAATTTATTCGAATAGAATGGAATCAAATGGAATGTAATAGTAAAAAATGGAATCGAATGGAATGGAATCGAATGGAATGGATCAGAATCGAATGGACTGGAATGAAGAGGACTCGAATATAATGGATTGCAATCTATTTGATTCGAATGGAATTGAATTGAATGGAATGTAATCAAATGGAAAAGAATTGAATGCAATGGAATGGAATAGAATGGAATGCAATGGAATGGAAAGGAATGGAGTGGAATCCAGTGGAATGGAATGGAATGGAATCAAAGGAAATGGAATCGAATAAAATGGACGTGGGACAAAACGGAATCGAATGGATTGGAATCGAAAGGAACAGAATGGAATGGAGTGTAATGGACTCAAATGGAAAGGAGTTGAATGTAATATAATGTAATGGAATGGGTTGGAGTGTAATAGAAGGATATCGAATGGAACAGAATGAAATGGAATGGACTCGAATGGAATGGACGGGAGTGGAATGGAAACGAATGGAATGGAATGCAATGGAATAGAATGGAATGGAATGGAATGGAATGAAAGCAATAGAACGGAACGAAATCAGATGGAACGGAATGCAATGGAATGGTGTCGAATGGAATAGAATCGAATGGAATGGCATCAGATGGAATGGAATGGAATGAACTCGAATAGAATGGACTCGAATGGAATAAAAAAGAACGGAATGGCATCGAATGGAATGGAATGGAATGGCATGGAATTGAATGGACCCAAATGTAATGGACCTAAATGGAATGGACTCAAAGAGAATGGACTCGAAACGAATGGTCTCAAATGGAATTCATTCAAATAGAATCGAATCGAATTGAATGAAATAGTTTGCAATGGAATCAAATGGAATGGAAGCGAATGGAATGGAGCAGAAAGGAATGGACTGGAATAGAATGGACTCGAATGTAAAGGATTGCAATGTAATAGATTCGAATGGAATGGAAACGAATGGAATATAATAAAATGGAAAGGATTGGAATGCAATGGAATGAAATAGAATGGAATGCAATAGAATGGAATGGAGTGGAATCGAGAGGAATGGAATTCAATGGAATGGAATTGACAGGAACAATATGGAAATGAACGGATTGGAATCACAAGGAACGGAATGGAATGAAATGGAATGGAATATACTCAAATGAAATGGAACATACACGAATGGAATGGAGTCAAATGGAGTGGAATCAAATAGAATGGAATCAAATAGAATGGAAATGAATGGAATCAAAAGGAATAGAATGGAATGGAGTCTAAGGGAAAGATATTGAATGGAATGGAATGGCATAGAATGGAATCAAATGGAATGGACTGGAATGGGGCGGACTCTAATGGAATGCACTGGAGTGGAATGGAATTGAACGGAATGGAAAAGAATGGAATGGAATGGAATGGAAGGGAAAACAATAGAATGGAAAGGAATCGGATGGAACGGAATGGAATGGAATACAGTCAAATGGAATAGAATCGAATGGAATGGCATCGAATGGAATGGAATGGAATGGATTCGAATGGAATGGACTCGAATGGAATAAAATCAAATTGAATGGCATCGAATGGAATGGAAATTAATGGAATGGACACAAATGTAATGTACTTGAATGGCAATAAATCAAATAGAATGGAATTGAAAGAAATGATCTCGGATGGAATTTATGCGAGTAGAATGGAATCGAAAGGAATTCAATAGTATGGAATGCAATTGAATGGAATGGAATCGATTGGAATGGACTGGAGTAAAAAAGAGTAGAATGCAATGGATTGCAATGTAATTGATTCGAATAGAATGGAATCAAATGGAATGGAAACGAATGGAATGCACCGGAATGGAATGGACACGACTAGAAGGACTCGAATGTAATGGATTGCAATGTAATTTATTCAAATGCAATGGAATCGATTGTAATGTAATCTAATTGATTGGAATGGAAATCAATGGAATCGAATAGAATGCAATGCAATGGAATGGAACAGAGTGGAATCGACTGGAATGGAATCAAATGGAATGGAATTGAAGGAATGGAATCGACTGGAACGGACTGGAATGGAATGGAATCGAATGGAATGGACAGGAACAAAATGGAATGGAATGGATTGGAATCGAATGGAACGGAATGGAATGGAATTGAATGGAATGGACTCGAATGGAATGGAGCCGAATGGAATGGAACCGAATGGAATGGAATCCAATGGAATGGAACTGAATGGAATCTAAAGGAATAGAATGGAATGGAGTGCAAAGTAAAGATATCGAATGGAATGGAATGGAGTGGAACGGACTCAAATGGAATGGAAATAAATGGAATAGATTTGAAAGGAATAGCATGGAATGGAATGGGATGGAATGGAATGAAATGGAATGGAATGGAATGCAATGGAGTCAAATGGAATAGAATAGAATGGGATGGCATTAAACAGAATGGAATGGAATGGACTCGAATGGAATGGACCCGAATGGAATAGAATAGAATGGAATGCAATCGAATTGAATGGAATGGAATGGTTTGGAATGGAATGGAATGGACCCAAAGGTAATGGGCTCGAATGGAATGGACTCAAATAAAATGAAATCGAAAGGAATGGTATCGAATGGAATTTATTCAAATAGATTTGAATCGAATAGAATGAAACAGTATGGAATGGGATTGAATGGAATGGAATCGAATTGTATGGACCGGAATAGAATTGACTGGAATAGATTGGAATGTGATTGATTCGAATGGAATGGAATCGAATGGAAAGTAATCAAATGGAATGGAATGGAATGCAAAGAATGGATTAGAATGGAATGCAATGGAATGGAACGGGACGGAGTGGAATTGAGTGGAATGGAATCGAATTAAATGGAATCGAATGGAATAGAATCAAATGGAATGGACTAGAATGGAATCAACCTGGGACAAAAAGGAATCCAACGAATTGGAATCGAATTGGAAAAAGTGAAATTGAATGGAATGGACCCGAATGGAATGGAGTCGAATGGAATGGGATGTAATGGAATGGAATCAAATGGAATGGAATTGAATGGAATGGAATTGAATGGAATTAAGTATAGTGGAAAGATATCGAATGGAATGAAATGGAATGGACTCGAATGGAATGGACTGGAATGGAATGGACGAGAATGGAATGGAGTGGAATTGACTCGAATGTAATGGAAACGACTGGAATGGAATGGAAAATAATATAATGGAATGGAATCGGATGGAACAGAATGGAATGTAATGGAGCCGAATGAAATAGGATCGAATGGATTGGCATCAAATGGAATGGAATGGAGTGGAAAGGACTCAAATGGAAAGGATTCGAATGGGATAGAATACACTGGAATGCTGTCAAATGGATTGGAATGCAATGGAATGGAATGGACCCAAATGTAATGGACTCAAATGGAATGGACTCAAATAGAATGGACATGAAAGGAATGGGCTCAAATGGAATTCATTCGAATAGAATCGAATCGAATGGAATGCAGTAGTATTGAATGGAATCGAAAGGAATAGAATCAGATGGAATGGACCGGAATGGAATGGACTGGAATAGAGCGGACTTGAATATAATGGATGGTAATGTAATTGATTCGAATGGAATATAATCGAGTGGAATGTAATCCAATGGAATGGAATGGAAACCAATGGAATGCAATGGAATGCAATAGAATGCAATGCAATGGAATGGAATGGAATTGAGGGGTATCATGTGGAAGGGAATCGAATAGAATGGAATTGAATAGAATGGAATCGAATGGAATGGACAGGAATGGAATGGACTCAAATGGAATGGACTGAAAAAAAAGGATTGGAATGGATTGGAATCAAACTTAATGGAATGGAGTGGAATGGATTGGAATGGACTCGAATGGAATGGAGTCGAATGGAAAGGAACCGAATGGAAAGCAATCAAATGGAATGGAATTGAATGGAATCAAAAGGAATAGAATGGAATGGGGTGCAAAGGAAAGTTATCAAATGAAATGGAATTGAATGGAATGGAAAGGAATGGACTTGAATGGAATGGACTGGAGTGGAATGGACTTGAATGGAATGGGCTGGAGTGGAATGGACTTGAATGAAAAGGAAACGAATGGAATGGAATGGAAAGGAATAGACTGGAATGGAATGGGACGGAACAGAAAGGAATGGAATAGAATAGAATGGAGTTGAATGGAATATAATCGAATGGAATGGCATCAAGGGAATGGAATGGAATGGACTCGAATGGAATGGAATCGAATGGAGTAGAATCGAAAGGAATGGCATTGAATAGAATGGAATTGAATGAAATGGAATGGACCCAAATGTAATGGACTCAAACGGAATGCACTCAAATAGAATGGACTCGAAAGCAATGGTCTCGTAAGGAATTTATTCAAATAGAATGGAATCGAATGGAATTAAATAGTATTGAATGGAATCAAATGGAATGGAATCGAATTGAATGGACCAGAATGGAATGGACTGGAATAGAACAGACTCGAATGTAATGGACTGCAATGTGATTGATTCGAATGGAATGGAAACGAATGGAATGGAATGGAATACAAAGGAATGGATTAGAATGGAATGCAATGTAATGGAACGGAATGGAGTGGAATCAAGTGGAATGGAATCGAATAGAATATAATCGAATGGAATGGAATCGAATGTAATGGATTTGAATGGGATGGATTTGGGACCAAGTGGAATCGAACGGATTGGAATCCAACGGAACAGAATGAAATGGTATGGAATAGAATGGACCCGAATGGAACGGAATCAAATGGAATGGAATCGAATGGAATGGATTTGAATGGAGTGGATTGAATGGAATGGAATTGAATGGAATGGAGTGTGATGGAAGGATATCGAATGGAATGGAATGGAATGGACTCGAATGGAATGGACTGGAATGGAACGGTCTGGAATGAAATGGACAGGAGAGGAATGGACTCGAATGGAATGGACTGGAGTGGAATGGAATCAAATGGAATGCAAACGAATGGAATGGAATGGAAAGAATTATAATGGAATGGAATCGGATGGAACGGAATGGAATGTAATGGAGTTGAAAGGAATAGAATCGAATGGAATGGCATCGAATGGAATGGCATCAAATGGAATGGGATGGAATGAAATGGAGTGGAATGGATTCAAATGGAATGGATTCGAATGGAATATAATAGAATGGAATGCCATCAAACGGAATGGAATGGAATGGAATGGAATTGACCCAAATGTGATGGACTCAAATGGAATGCACTCAAATAGAATGGACTTGAAAGGAATGGGTTCGAACGGAATTCATTTGAATAGAATTGAATGGAATGGAATGCAGTAGTATTGAATGGAATCGAATGGAATGGAATTGAATGGAATGGACAGGAATGGAATGGACTGGAATAGAGTGGACTCGAATGTAATAGATTGCAAAGTAAGTGGTTCAAATGGAATGGAATCGATTGGAATGTAATCCAATTGATTGGAATGGAAATCAATGGTATTGAATAGAATGCACTGCAATGGAATGGAATGGAGTGGAATCGACTGGAATGGAATCGACTGGAATGGAATCGAATGGAATGGAATTGAATGGAATGGAATCGAAAGGAATGGACTGGAATAGAATGGAATCGAATAGAATGGACAGGAACAAAATGAAATGGAATGGATTGGAATGGAATGGAATGGAATGGAATGGAATGGAAAGGACTCGAATGGAATGGAGTCAAATGGAATGGAACCGAATGGAATGGAATTTAATGGAATGGAAATGAATGGAATCTAAAGGAATAGAATGGAATGGAGTGCAATGTAAAGATATCCAATGGAATGGAATGGATTGGACTCAAATGGAATGGACTGGAATGGTCAGTAAAGGAATGGACTGGAGTGGAGAGGACTTGAAGGGAACGGTCTGGATAGGAATGGACTCGAATGGAATGGAAATGAATGGAATGGAATGGAAAGGAATATCCTGGAATGGAATGGGATGGAATGGAATGGAATGGAATGGAATGGAGTCGAATGGAATAGAATCGAATGGAATGGCATCAAGCTGAATGGCATGGAATGGACTCGAATGGAATGGACCCAAATGGAATAGCATAGAATGGAATCCAATCGAATAGAATTAAATGGAATGGATTGGAATGGAATGGAATGGAATGGGCCCAAAGAAATGGGCTCGAATAGAATGGACTCAGATAGAATGAACTCAAAAGGAATGGTCTCGAATGGAATTTATTCGAATAGAATTGAATCAAATGGAATGAAACAGTATGGAATGGGATCGAATGGAATGGGATCAAATCAATGGAATCGAATTGTATGGACTGGAATAGAATGGACTGGAATAGACTGGACTCGAATTTAATGGATTGCAATGTGATTGATTCAAATGGAATGGAATCGAATGGAAAGTAATCAAATGGAATTAAATGGAATGCAAAGGAATGGATTAGAATGGAATACAATGGAATGGAAAGGAACAGAGTAGAATCGAGTGGAATGGAATCGAGTGGAATGGAATCGAATTGAATGGAATCGAATGGAATGGACTCGAATGGAATTGATATGGGACAAAAAGGAATCGAATGGATTGGAATCGAATTGAAAGGAATGAAATTGAATGGAATGGACCCGAATGGAGTGGAGTCGAATGGAATGAGATCTAATGGAATGGAATCAAATGGAATGGAATTGAATGGAATGCAGTATAAAGGAAAGGAATGGAATGGACTTGAATGGAATGGACTGGAATGGAATGGACTAGAATGGAATGGACTGCTGTGGAATGGACTAAAATGGAATGGACTGGAGTGGAATGGACTCGAATGGAATGGAAACGACTGTAATGGAATGGAAAATAATATAATGGAATGGAATAAGATGGAACGGAATGTAATGTAATGGAGTCGAATGAAATAGAATCAAATGGAATGGCATCAAATGGAATGGAATGGAATGGAGTGGAATGGACTCGAATGGAATGGATTCGAATGGGATAGAATAGACTGGAATGCTATCAAATGGATTGGAATGGAATGGAATGGAATGGACCCAAATGTAATGGACTCAAATAGAATGGACTTGAAAGGAATGGGCTCGAATGGAATTCATTCGAATAGAATCGAATCGAATGGAATGCAGTAGTATTGAATGGAATTGAATGGAATGGAATGGACCAGAATGGAATGAATTGGAATAAAGCGGACTCGAATGAAATGGATTGTAATGTAATAGATTCGAATGGAATATAATCGAGTGGAATGTAATCCAATGGAATGGAATGGAAACCAACGGAATGCAATAGAATTCAATGCAATGGAATGGAATGGAGGGGAAACGTGTGGAATGGAATCGAATGGAATGGAATCGGATGGAATGGACTGGAATGGAATGGACTCAAATGGAATGGACTGAAACAAAATGGATTGGAATGGATTGGCATCGAATGGAACAGAATGGAGTGGAATGGATTGGAATGGACTCGAAAGGAATGGAGTTGAATGGAAAGGAACCGAATCGAAAGCAATCAAATGGAATGGAATTGAATGGAATTGAAAGGAATAGAATGGAATGGGGTGCAAAGGAAAGTTATCAAATGGAATGGAAATGAATGGATTGGACAAGAATGGACTTGAATGGAATGGACTGGAGTGGAATGGACTTGAATGGAATGGGCTGGAGTGGAATGGACTCAAATGAAAATGAAACGAATGGAATCGAATGGAAAGGAATAGACTGGAATGGAATGGGATGGAACGGAAAGGAATGGAATGGAGTGCAAAGGAAGATATCGAATGGAACAGAATGAAATGATTTGGAATGGAATGGAGTCGAATGGAATGGAATCGAATGGAATGGAATCGAATGGAATGGAATTGAATGGAATGGAATTGAATGGAATGGAGTGCAAAGGAAGATATCGAATGGAATGGAATGGACTCGAATGGAATGGACAGGAGTGGAATGGACTCGAATGGAATGGACTGGAGTGGAATGGACTCGAATGGAATAGAAAAGAATGGAATGGAATGGAAAGGATTATAATGGAATGGAATTGGAGGGAACTGAATGTAATGTAATGGAGTCAAAAGGAATAGAATCGAATGGAATGGCAACAAATGGAATGGAATGGAATGGAATGGACTCGAAAGGAATGGATTCTCATTTTATACAGTCGAATGCAATGGCATAGAATGGAATGTAATGCAATAGCATGGAATGGAATGGACACAACTGTAATGTACTCCAATGGAATGGACTCCAATACAATGGATTCTAAAGGAATGGGCTCGAATGGAATTCTTTCGAGTAGAATTGAATCGAATGGAATGCAATAGTATTGAATGGAATAGAATGGAATGGAATAGAATGGAATGGAATTGAATGGAATGGAAGGGAATGGAATGGACTGGAAAAGAGTAGACACGAATGTAATGAATTGCAATGTAATAGATTCGAAAGGAATGGAATCGAATGGAATGGAAACGAATGGAATGGCATTGAATGGAATGGAAAGGAATGGAATGGAATGGAATGGAATGGACCCAAATGTAATGGACTCGAAAGGAATGGACTCAAACAGAATGGACTCAAAAGGAATGGTCTCGAAGGGAATTTATTCGAATAGAATGGAATCGTATGGAATGCAATAGTATGGAATGGAATCGAATGGAATTGAATCGAATGGAATGGAATCGAATGGAATGGACTGGAATGGAATGGACTGGAATAGAATGGACTCGAAAGTAGTGGATTGCAAAGTAATAGATTTGAATGGAATGGAATTGAATGGAATATAATCAAATGGAAAGGAATGGAATACAATGGAATGCAATGGAATGGAATGGAGAGGAATCGAGTGGAATGGAATCGAATGGAATTGAATGGAATGGAATGCAATAGAATAGAATGGAATTGAATGGAATCGAAAGGAATAGAATGGAATGGAGCGCAATGGAAAGATATCCAATGGAATGGAATGGAATGGAATTGACTCGAATGGAATGGACTGGAATGGAATGGACTCCAATGGAATGGGCAGGATTGGAATGGACTCAAATGTAATGGAAACGAATGGAATATAATGGAACAGAAAGGAATAGAGTGGAATGGAATCTGATGGAATGGAAAGGAATGGAATGGAGTCGAATGGAATACAGTCAAATGGAATGGCTTCGAATGGAATGGAATGGAATGCACTCAAATCGAATGGACTCGAATGGAATAGAATCAAAAGGAATGGTATCGAATGGAATGGAGTGGAATGGTTTGGAATGGACCCAAATGTAATGGACTCGAATGGAATGGACACATATAGAATGGACTTGAAAGCAATGGTCTCGAATGGTATTTATTTGAATAGAATGGAATCGAATGGAATGCAATAGTATGGAATGAAATCTAATGGAATGGAAACGAATGGAATGGACCGGAATGGAATGGACTGGAATAGAACAGACTCGAATGTAATGGATTGCAATGTAATTGATACGAATGGAATGGAATAGAATGACATGGAATGGAAATGAATGGAATGGAATGGAATGGAATAGAATGGAATGGAATTGGATGGAACGAAATGGAATGCAATGAAGTCGAATGGAATATAATCAAAAAGAATGGCATGGAATGGAATGGACTCGAATGGAATAGACTCTAATGTAATAGAATAGAATGGAATGGCATTGAATGGAATGGTATGGAATGTAATGGACCCAAATGTAATGGAGTTCAATGGAATGGACTCAAATAGAATGGACTAGAAAAAAATGGTCTCCAGTGGAATTTATTCGGATAGAATGGAATTGAATGGAATGCAATAGTATGGAATGGAATTGAATGGAATGGAACCGAATGGAATGGACCAGAATGGAATGGACTGGAATAGAACAGACTCGACTGTAATGGATTGCTATTTAATAGATTCGAATGGAATGGAATCAAAAGGAATGTAATCAAATGGAATGGAATGGAATTCAATGGAAAGGAATAGAATGGAATTTAACGAAATGGAATAGAATGGAATTCAATGGAAAGAACGAATTGGCATGGGGTGGAATGGAATCGAATTGAATGGAATCAAATGGAATGGAATCGAATGGAATGGACTGGAATGGAATGGACACGAATGGAAGGGACAGGAACAAAATTGAATCGAACTGATTGGAAAAGAACCAAAATAATGGAATGGAATGGAATGGAATGGAATGGAGTCAAATGGAATGGAATCGAAAGGAATGGAACCGAAAGGAATGGAATTGAATGGAATCAAAAGGATTAGAACAGAATGGAGTGTAATGGAAAAATATCGAATGTAATGGAATGGAATAGAATGGCCTCGAGTGGAATGGACTGGAATGGAAAGCACTCAAATGGAATGGACTGGAATGGAATGGCCTCGAACACAATAGAAACGAATGGAATGGAATGGAATTGGACGGAATGGAATGGAATGGATTGGAAAGGAATAGAATGGAATGGATTCAGATGCAACAGAATGGAACGGAATGGAGTTGAATGGAATAGAACCGAATGCAATGCCATCAAATGGAATGGAATGGAATGGAATCGAATGGAATGGACTCGAATGGAATAGAAACGAAAGGAATGGCATTGAATGGAATGGAATGGAATGGACCAAAATGTACTGGACCCTAATGGAATGGACACAAATAGAATGGATTCGAAAGGAATGGCCTCGAAAAGAATTTATTGGAATAGAATGGAATCGAATGGAATGCAATAGTATGGAATGGAATCGAATGGAATGGAATCGAATGGAATGGACTGGAATGAAATGGAAAGGAATAGAGTGGACACGAATGTAATGGATTGCAATGTAATTGATTCGAATGGAATGGAATCAAATGGAATGTAATCAAATGGAATGGAATGGAATGCAATGGAATGGAATAAAATGGAATGGAATGGAATATAATGGAATGCAATGGAATGGAAAGAAGTGGAATCGAATGGAATGGAATCAAATGAAATGGAATCCAGTGGAATGGAATCGAATGGAATGGACTGAAATGGAATGGACTCGAATGTAATGAACTGGAAGAAAATGGAATCAAACGGATTGTAATCGAACGGAACAGAATAGAATGGAATGGAAGAGAATGGACTCGAACGGAATGGTGTCGAATGGAATGTAATCGAAAGGAATGGAATTGAATGGAGTTGAAAAGAATAGAATGGAATGGAATGGAATGGCATCGAATGGAATGGAATGGACTCCAATGGAATGGAGTCGAATGGAATAGAATGAAATGGAATGGAATGGCATCGAATGGAATGGATTGGAATGGACCCAAATGTAATGGACTCGACAGGAATGGTCTCAACTAGAATGAACTCGAAAGGAATTGTCTCGGATGGAATTTATTCAAATAGAATGGAAACGAATGGAATGCAATAGTATGAAATTGAATTGAATGGTAGGGAATCACATGGAATGGACCGGAATGGAATAGACTGGAATACAATGGACTTGAATGTCATGGATTGCAATGCAATTGATTTGAGTGGAATAGAATCGAAAGGAAAGTAATGAAATGGAATGGAATGGAATGCAATAGAATGGTATAGAATGGAATGCAATGGAATGGAATGGAGTGGAATCCAGTGGAATGGAATAGAATGGAATGGGATCAAATGGTATGGAATCGAATGGAATGGACTGGAATGGAAAGGACTCAAATGGAATGGACTGGAACAAAATGGAATCGAACGGAATGGAACAGAAAGGAATGGAATGGAATGGAATGGAATCGAATGGAATGGAGTTGAATGGAATGCAATCTAATGGAATGGAATCAAACAGAATGAAAGTGAATGGAATTGAAAGGAATAGAATGGAATGGAGTGTAGTGGAAAGACAATGAATGGAATGGAAAGGAATGGAATGGACTGGAAAGGAATGGACTGGAATGGAAAGGACCCGAATGGAATGGACTGGAGTGGAATGCCCACGAATAGAATGGAAATGAATGGAATGGAAAGAATTGGATGAGAATGGAACAGAAAGGAATATAATGGAATGCTATTGCAGAGAACGGAATGGAATGGAGTCGAATGGAATAGAATCGAATGGAATGGCAAGAAATGGAATGGAATGAAATGGAATAGAATGGAATGGAATAAAATAGGATGGAGCGAAGTGGAATGCAACTGAGTCGAATGGAATAGAATCCATTGGAATGACATCGAATGGAATGGAATGGAATGGACTTGAATGGAATGGAGTCAAATAGAATAGAATCAAATGGAATGGCATTGAAAGGAATGGAATGGATTGAGATGGAATGGACTCCAATGAAATGCACTCGAATGGAATAGATTCGAATGGAATGGCATCGAATGGAATGAATATGAATGTTGTGGAATGGACCCAAAAGTAATGGACTCGTATGGAATGGACTCAAAGATAATGGACTCGAAAGGAATGGTCTCCAAAGAAATTTATTCGAAAAGAAAGGAATCGAATGGAATGCAATATTATGGAAAGGAATCAAATGGAACGGAATTGAAAGGAATGGACCAGAATGGAATGGACTGGAATAGAACGGACTTGAAAGTAATGGACTGCAATGTAATTGATTCGAATGGAAAGGAATTGAATGGAATGGAATCAAAGGGAATGGAAAGTAATGCAATGGAATGGAATAGAATGGAATGCAATGGAATGGGACAGTGCAGAATCGAGTGGAATGGAATCGAATGGAATGGAATTGATTGGAATGGAATCGATTGGAATGGACTTGAATGGAGTGGACTCGAATGGAATGAACTGGAACAAAATGGAATCGAACGGATTGGAATCGAACAAAACGGAAAGGAATGGAATGGAATGGCCTCGAAAAGAATGGAGTCGAATGGAATGGAATTGAATGGAATGGAATTGAATTGAATGCAAATGAATGGAATTGAAAAGATTAGAATGAAGTGCAGTGTAATGGAAAGATATCGAATGCAATGGAATGGAATGGAATCAAATGGAACGGACTGGAATGGAATGGACTTGAATGGAATGGACCGGAGTGCAATGGACTCGAGTGGAATGGAAACGAATGTAATGGAATGTAATGGAATGAAATGGAAAGGAATAGAATGGAATAGAATCGGATGGAACGGAACGGAATGGAATGGATTTGAATGGAATAGAATTGAATGGAATGTCATCGAATGGAATGGAATGGAATGGAAAGGACTAGAATGGAATGGACTCGAAGGGAATAGAATAGAATGGAATGGCAGCGAAGGGAATGGATTGGAATGGAATGGAATGGACCCAAATTCAATGGACTCAAATGGAATGGTCTCATATAGAAGGGCCTCGAAAGGAATGGTCTCGAATGGAAATTATTCCAATGGAATGGAATCGAATGTAGGGCAATAATAGGGAATGGAATTGAGTGGAATCGATTTGAATGGAATTGACCCGAATGGAATGGAATGCAATAGAACAGACTTGAATGTAAGGGATTGCAATGTAATTGATTCGAATGGAATGGATCCAATGGAATGTAATCAAATGGAGTTGAATGGAATGCAATGGAATGGAATGGAACGGATTGGAATAGAGAGGAATGGAATCGAACAGAAAGGAATCGAATGGAATAGACTGGAATGGAATGTACTCGAATGAAATGGACTGGAATAAAATGGAATTGAAAGGATTGGAATGGAATGGAATGTAATGGAATGGACTCGAATTGAATGGAGTCGAATGGAATGGAACCGAATGGAATGGAATTGAATGGAATCAAAATGAATAGAATGGAATAGAGTGTAATGGAAAGATATCGAAAGGAATGGAATGGAATGGACTCGGGAGGAATGGACTGAAATGGAATGGACTCGAATGGAATTCACTGGAATGGAATGGACTCCAACGGAATGGAAACGAATGGAATGGAATGGAAGGGAATGGAAGTAATAGAATGGAATGGAATCGGATGGAATGGAATGGAATGGAGTCGAATGGAATAGAATCGAATGGAATGGCATCAGATGGAATGAATGGAATGGACTCGAATGGAATGTATTCGAATGGAATATAAAACAACGGAATGGCATCGAATGGAATGGGATGGAATGGTATGGAATTGAAAGGACCCAAATGTAATGGACATAAATGGAATGCACTCAAATAGAATGGACTCCAAAGGAATGGTCTCGAATGGAATTCATTCAAATAGAATCAAATCGAATCGAATGAAACACTTTGGAATGGAATTGAATGGAATGGACCAGAAAGGAATGGACTCCAATAGAACGGAGTTGAATGTAATGGATTGCAATGTAATTGATTCGAACAGAATGGAAAGGAATGGAATATAATCAAATGGAAAGGAATGGAATGCAATGGAATGGAATACAATGGAATGCAATAGAACGGAACGGAGTGGAATTGAGAGGAATTGAATCGAATGGAATGGAATTGAGTGGAACAAAATGGAAATGAACGGATTGGAATGGAATGGAATGGAATGGAATGGAATGGAATGGAGTGGAACATACTTGAATGGAATGGAAACAAATGGAGTGTAATTGAAAGGAATGGAATCGAATGGAATGGAATTGAATGGAATCAAAAGGAATAGGATGGAATGGAGGGGAATGGAAAGATATCGAATGAAATGGAATGGAATGGAGTCGAATGGAATGGACTGGAATGGAATGTACTCGAATGAAATGGAATCGATTTGAATGTAATCCAATGGATTGGAATGGAATAGAATGCAATGCAATGGAATGGAATGGAGGGGAATCGACTGGAATGGAATTGATTGGAATGAAATTGACTGGAATGGAATGGAATGGACTCGAATGAAATGGACTGGATCAAAATGGAATGGAATGGATTGGAATCGAAAGGAACGGAAGGGAATGGAACGGAATGGAATGGAATGCACTCGAATGGAATGGAGTCGCATGGAATGGAACCGAATGGAATGGAATCGAATGGAATGGAACTGAATGGAATCTAAAGGAATAGAACGGAATGGATTGCAATGTAAATATATCGAATGGAATGGAATGGAATGGAATGGACTCGAATGTAATGGACTGGAATGTACAGTAAAGGAATGGACTGGAGTGGAAAGGACTTAAAGGGGATGGTCTGGAGTGGAATGGACTCGAATGGAATGGACTCAAATAGAATGGACACGAAAGGAATGGTCTCGAATGGAATTTTTTCGAATAGAATGGAACCGATTGGAATGAAATAGTATTGAATGGAATGGAATGGAATGCAATCGAATTGAATAGACTGGAATGGAATGGACTGGAATAGAACAGACTCGAACGTTACGGATTGCAATGTGATTGATTCGAATGGAATGGAATCGAATGGAATGTAATCAAATTGAATGGAATGGAATACAAAGGAATGGAATAGAATGGAATGGAATGTAATGGAACGGAAAAGAGTGGAATCGAGTGGAATGGAATTGAATGGAATAGAATCGAATGGAATGGAATCGAATGGAATGGATTCGAATGGAATGGACTTGGGACAAAATGGAATCAAACGGATTGGAATTGAACGGAAGGGAATGAAAATGTATGGAATGGAATGGACTAGAATGGAGTGGAGTCGAATGGAATGGAATCGAATGGAATGGAGTTGAATGGAGTGGAATTGAATGGAATGGAATTGAATGTCATGGAGCGCAATGGAAAGATATCAAATGGAATGCAATGCAATGGAGTGGAATGGAATGGACTCGAAAGGAATGGACTAGAATCGAATGGACATGAGTGAAATGGACTCGAATGGAATGGACTGGAGTGAAATAGAGTCGAATGGAATGGAAACGAATGGAGTGGAATGGAAAGAAATATAATGGAATGGAATCGGATGGAATGGAATGGAATGCAATGGAGTCGAATGAAATAGAATCGAATGGAATGGAATCAAATGGAATGGAATGGATTGGAATGGCATGGAATGGACTTGAATGGAATGGATTCGAATGGAATAAAATAGAATGGAATGCAATTGAATGGATTGGAATGGAATGGAATGGACCCTAATATAATGGATTCAAATGGAACGGATTGAAATAGAATGGACTTGAAAGGAAGGGACTCAAATGGAACTCATTCGAATAGAATTGAATCGAATTGAATGCGGTAGTATTGAATGGAATCAAATAGAATTGAATCGAATGGAATGGACTGGAACGGAATGGACTGGAATAGAGTGGACTCGAATGAAATGGATTGCAATATAATTGATTTGAATGGAATGGAATCGAATGGAATGTCATCCAATGGAATGGAATGGAAACCAATGGAATGCAATAGAATGCAAGGCAATGGAGTGGAATCAGGTGGAATGGAATCGAATGGAATGGAATTGAATGGAATGGATTCGAATGGAATGGACTGGAATGGAATGGACTCGAATGGAATGGACTGGAATAAAATGGATTGGAATCGAATGGAACGGAATGGAGTGGAATGGAATGGAATGGACTCGAAAGGAATGAAGTCGAGTGGATTGGAACCGAATGGAATGCAATAGAATGGAATGGAATTGAATGGAATATAATGGAATAGAATGGAATGGAGTGCAATGGAAATTTATCGAATGGAATGAAATTGAATTGAATTGACTGGAATGGACTCGAATGGAATGGACTGGAGTGGAATGGACTTGAATGGAATTGGCTGGAGTGGAATGGATTCGAATGGAATGGAAACGAATGGAATGGAATGGAAAGGAGTAGACTGGGATGGAATGGAATGGAATGGAACGGAACGGAATGGAGTCAAATGGAATAGAATCGAGTGGAATGGCATCCAATGTAATGGAATGGAATGGACTCGAATGGAATAGAATCGAAACAAATGGCATCAAATGGAATGTTATTGAATGAAATGGAATGGAATGGACCCAAATGTAATGGCCTCGAATGGAGTGGACTCAAAGAGAACGGACTCGAAAGGAATGGTCTTGAATGGAATTTATTTGAATAGAATGGAATCAAATGGAATGAAATAGTATTGAATGGAAGCAAAAGGAATGGAATCGAGTTGAATGGACCAGAATG
The DNA here is from genome assembly GCF_000001405.40 of Homo sapiens. Classification (NCBI taxonomy): domain Eukaryota; kingdom Metazoa; phylum Chordata; class Mammalia; order Primates; family Hominidae; genus Homo; species Homo sapiens. Next base: position 21,912,665 of record NC_000017.11, read on the forward strand.
GAATGGACTGGAATAGAAAGGACTAGAATGTAATGGACTATAATGTGATTGATTCGAATGGAATGGAATCGAGGGGAATGTAATCGAATGGAAAGGAATGCAAAGGAATGGAATAGAATGGAATGGAATGCAATGGAACAGAACGGAGTGGAATCGAGTGGAATGGAATCAAATGGAATGGATTCGAATGAAATGGACTCGTGAAAAATGGAATCGTGACAAAATGGAATCAAATGGATTGGTATCGAATGGAACAGAATGAAATGGTTTGGAATGGAAGGGACTCGAATGGAATGGACTGGAATCAAAAGGATTCGACTGGCATGGATTGGAGTGGAATGGACTCCAATGGAACGGAAATGAATGGAATGGAATGGAACGAATAGAATGGAATGAAACCGGATTTAATGGAATGGAATGGATTGGAATCGAATGGGATAGAATCAAATGGAATGGCAGCAAATGTAATGTAATGAAATGTAATGGAATAAAACGGAATGGATTTGAATGGAATAGAATCGAATGAAATGTCATCAAGTGGAATGGAATAAAACGGAATGGATTTGAATGGAATAGAATCGAATGAAATGTCATCAAATGGAATGGAAATGAATGGAAATGAATGGAATGGAATGGACCAAAATGTAATGGACTTTAATGGAATGGACTCAAATAGAATGGATTCAAATGGAATGGTCTCAAATGGAATTTAGTCGAATAGAATGGAACTGAATGGAATGCAAAAGCATGGAATGGAATTGAATGTAATGGAATAGAATGGAATGGACCAGAATGCAATGGACAGGAATAGAATGGACTCGAATGTAATGGATTGCACTGTAATTGACTCGAATGGAATGGAATCGAATGGAATGTGGTCAAATGGAATGGAATGGAAAGCAATGGAATGGAATAGAACGGAATGCAATGGAATGGAACAGAGTGGAATCGAGTGGAATGGAATCAAAAGAAGTGGAATCAGACGGAACGGAATGGAATGGAATGGAGTCGAATGGAATAGAGTCGAATGGAAGGGCATCAAATGGATTGGAAAGGAATGGAATGGAATGGACTCGAATGGAATGGACTCGAATGGAATAGAATCGATTGGAATGGCATCGAATGGAATGGACACAAATGTAATGGACTCTAATAGAATGGTCTCAAATATAATGGACTCGAAAGAAATTGTCTCGAATGGAATTTATTCAAATGGAATGGAATCGAATGGAATGCAATAGAATGAAATGGAATCGAATGGAATGGAATCAAATGGAATGGAACGGAATGGAATGGAATGGAATAGAATGGACTCAGTTGTAATGGATTGTAATGCAATTGATTCGAATGGAATGGAATCGAACGGAAAGGAATGGAAAGGACCGGAATGGAATGGACTAGAATAGAACAGACTCGAACGTAATGGATTGCAATGTAATTGACTCGAATGAAATGGCATCGAATGGAATGTAATCAAATCGAATAGAATGTAATGCAATGGAATGTAATACACTGGAATGTAACAGAATGGAACAGAATGGGATGTAATGGAATAGAAAGGATTGGAATCGAGTGGAATGAAATCGAATGGAATGGACTGGAACGGAATGGACTTGAATGGAATGCACCGGAAAGAAATGGAATGGAAAGGAGTGGAATAGAACGGAATGGAATGGAATGGACTCGAATGGAATGGAGTCGAATGACATGGAATTGAATCTAAGGGAATCAAAAGGAATGGAATCAAATGGAATGGAATTGAATGTAATTGAAAGAATAGAATGGAATGGAGTGTAATGGAAAGATATCAAATGGAATGGAATGGAACCGAATAGAATGGACGGAAATGGAATGGACTCGAATGACATGGACTGGAGAGGAGTGGACTCGAATGGAAAGGAAATGAATGGATTGGAATGGAATGGAATGAATAGGAAGGAATGGAATGGGATGGAATGGAATGGAGTGGATTGGAATAGAATGGAATAGAATCGAACGGAATGGCATAGAATGGAATGGAATGGAATGGAATGGCCTCGAATTGAATGGACTCGAATGGAATAGAATAGAATGGAATGGCATCGAATGGAATGGAAAAGAATGGAATGGAGTGGAACAAAATGTAATGGACCCTAATGGAATGGACTCAAATAGAACGGATTTAAAAGGAAAGGTCTCGAATGGAATTTACTCCAATAGAATGTAATCGAATGTAATGCAATAGTATGGAATGTAATCAATGGTAAGGAATGGAATGGAATGCACTGGAATAGAACGGACTCGAATGAAATGGATGGCAATGTAATTGATTCAAAAGTAATGGAATCGAATGGAATGTAACCAAATGGAATGGAATGGAATGCAATGGAATGGAATACAATGGAATGCAATGGAATGGAACAGAGTGGAATCGAGTAGAATGGAATCGAATGGAATGGAATCTAAAGGAATGGACTCGAATGGAATGGAATGGAATGGAGTGAACTCGAATGAAATAGAATGGAGTGGAAAGGACACGAATGGAATGGAAACGAATGGAATGGAAAGGAAAGGAATAGAATTGAAAGAAATTTCATGGAACGGAATAGAATGGAATGGAATAGAATGGAATGGACTTGAATGGAATAGAGTAAAATGGAATGGAATGGAATCGAATGGAATGGAATTCAATGGAATCAAAAGGAATAGAATGGAATGAAGTGTAAGGGAAATTTATCAAATGGAATGGAATGGAATGGACTCCAGTGGAATGACCTGGAATGTAATGGACTCATAAGGAATGGGCTGGAGTGGAATGGACTCGAATGGAATGGAAACGATTGGAATGGAATGGAATAGAAAAGAATAGAATGGAATGGAATACGATGGAAAGTAATGGAATGGAATGGTGCCAAATGGAATAGAATCGAATGGAATGGCATCCATTCAAATGGAAAGGAATGGAATGGAATGGACTCGAATGGAATGGAATAGAATGGGATAGAATCAAATTGATTGGCATCAAATTGAATGGAATGCAATGGAATGCAATGGAATGCAATGGAATGGAATTGACCAAAATGTAATGGATTATAATGGAATGGAATGGAATGGAATGGAATGGACTCGAATGGAACAGAGTCAAATGGATTGGCATCGAATTGAATGGAATGCAATGGAATGGAATTGACCAAAATGTCATGGACTAGAATGCAATGGACTCAAACAGAATGGACTTGAAAATAATGGTCTGGAATGGAATTCATTCGAATAGAATGGAATCGAATGGAATGCAATAGTATGGAATGGAATCGAACGGAATGGAATATAATGGAATGGATCAGAATGGAATGGACTGGAATAGAATGGACTCGAATGAAATGGATTGCAATGTAATTGATTCGAATGCATTGGAATCGAATGGAATGTAATCAAATGGAAAAGAAAGGAAAGAAATCGAATGGAAGAGAATGGAATGAAATGGAATGGAATTTAGTGGAATGGACTGGAATGGAATCGAATGGAATGGAATGTAGTACAATGGAATGGAATCGAATGGAATGGACTGGAATGGAATCGAATTGAATCGTATGGACTCGAATGGAATGGAATAGAACAAAATGGAATCAAACGGATTGGAATTGAAAGGAACAGAAGGAACAGAATGGAATAGAATGGACTCAAATGGAATAGAGTCGAATGGAATGGAATCAAATGGAATGGAATAGAATGGAATGGAATTGAATGGAATTGAAAGGAATAGAATGGAATGGAGTGTAATGGAAAGATATCGAATGGAATGGACTGTAATGGAATAGCCTCCAATGGAATGGACTGAAGTGGAATGGACTCGAATGGAATGCAAAGGAATGGATTGGAATAGAATGTAATGGAATGGAAAGGAAAGGAAAAGAATGGAATGGAGTCTGATGGAACGGAATGGAATGGAAAGGTGTCAAATGGAATAGAATTCAATGGAATTGCATTGAATTGAATGGAATGGAATTGAATGGAATGGAATGGACTCCAATGTAATGGACCCGAATGGAATAGAATCAAAAGGAATGGCATCAAAAGGAATGGAATGGAATGGAACTGTCCCAAATGTAATGGACTAGAGTGGAATGGACTCAAATAGAATGGACTCAAAAAGAAAGGGCTCGAAGGGAATTTATTCCAATAGAATGGAATCGAATGGAATGCAATAGTATGGAGTGGAATTTAATGAAATGGAATTGAATGCAATGTACCGGAATGGAATGGACTGGAATAGAACGGATTCGAATGTAATGGATTGCAATGAAATGGATGCGAATGGAATGGAATCGAATGGAATGTAATCAAATGGAATGGATTGAAATGCAATGGAATGGAATAGAATGGAATGCAATGGAATGGAAGTGAGTGGAATCGAGTGGAATGGAATCGAATGAAATGGATTCGAATGGAATGGACTCGAATGGAATGGACTGGAACAAAATGGAATCGAACTGATTGGAAACGAAAGGAACTGAATGGATTAGAAAGGAATGGAATGGACTCGAATGGAATGGAGTCGAATGGAATGGAACCGAATGGAAAGGAATCGAATGGAATGGTATTGTATGCAATCAAAAGGAATAGAATGGAATGGAGTGTAACAGAAAGACATCGAATAGAAACAAATGGAATGGAATGGACTCTAATGGAATGGACTGGAATGGAATGGACTCGAATGGAATGGACATGAGTGGAAAAGACTCGAATGGAATGGAAATGAATGGAATGGAATGGAAAGGAATAGAATGCAATGGAATCAGATCGAACAGAATGGAATGGAATGGAGTTGAATGGAATAGATTTGAATGAAATGCCATCGAATGGAATGGAATGGAATGGATTGGACTCAAATGGAAAAGAATCGAATGGAATGGAATGGAACGGAATTGAATGGACTCGAAAGGAAAAGACTGGAATGGAATGGACTCGAATGGAATGAAGTGGAGTGGAATGGACTCGAATGGAATGGAAACTAATGGAATGGAATGGAACGGAATTGAATGGAATGGAAAGGAATGGAAAGGAAAAAATGGAAAACAATCTGATGGAATGGAATGGAATGGAAGCTACCAAAACGTAATGGACACTAATGCAATGGACACAAATAGAATGGACACAAAAGGAAGGGTCTCGAATGGAATTTATTCAAAAAGAATGGAATCGAATCGCATGTGATAGTATGGAATGGAATCGAATGGAATGGAATCAATTGGAATGGACCAGAATGGAATGGACTGGACTACAACGGACTCAAATGTAACGGATTGCAATGTATTTTATTCGAAAGGAATGGAATCGAATGGAATGTAATCAAATGGAATGAATTGCAGTGCAATGGAATGGAATAGAGTGGAATGCAATGGAATGGAACGGAGTGGAATCGAGTGGAATGGAATCGAATGGAATGGAATCAAATGGAATGCACTGCAATTCAATGGAGTTGATTGGAAAGGACTGGAACAAAATAGAATCGAACGAATTGGAATCGAACGCAATGGAATGGAATGGAATGGAAAAGAATGGACGTCAAGAAATGGAGTCGAACGGAATGGAACTGAATGGAATGGAATTGAATGGAATCAAAAGGAATAGAATAGAATGGAGCGTAATGGAAAGATATCGAATGGGATGGAAAGGAGTGGAAATGACTCCAATGGAATGGTCTGGAATGAAAAGGACTCGAATGGAATGGACTGGAAAGAAGTAGACTTGAATGGAATGGACTGGAGTGGAATGGACTTGAAAGCAAAGAAAATGAATTGAATGGAAAGGAATAGAATGGAAAGGAATATAATGTAATGGAATCAGATGGAACGGAATGGAATGAAATGGAGTCGAATGGAATGGCATTGGATAGAATGCAATGGAATGGAATCTAATGAACTTGAATGGAATGGACTCGAATGCAATAGAATAGAATGGAATGGCATCGAATGGAATGGAATGGAAGGGAGTGTAATGGAAAGATGTCAAATGGAATGGAATGAACTCGAATGGAAGGGACTGGAATGGAATGGACTCGAATGGAATAGATTGGAGTGGAATGGTCTCAAATGGAATGGAAACAAATGGAATGGAATTGAATGGAATGGAATTTAAAGGAATAAAATTGAAGGAATCGGATGGAATGGAATGGAACAGAAGAGAGTCCAATGGAATAGAATCGAATGGAATGACATTGAATGGAATGGAATGGAAAGGAATCGAAAGGAAAGGAATCGAAAGGAAAGACTCGAATGGAAAGGACTCGAATGGAATTGAACACAATGGAATGAGATCGAATGGAATGGAATGGAAGGGAGTGTAATGGAAAGATATCGAATGGAATGGAATGGAATAGAATGGAATGGCCTGGAATGGATTGGACTCCAATGGAATGGACTGGAGTGGAATGGACTCGAATGGAAAGGAAACGAATTGAACAGAATGGAATGTAATGCAAACAATATAATGGAATTGAATCGGATGGAAATGAATGGAAAGGAATGGAGTCGAATGGAATAGAATCGAATTGAATGACATCGAATGGAATGGAAAGGACTCGAAAGGTGTGGACTCGAATGGAATAGAATCAAAAGGAATGACATCCAATGGAATGGAATGTAATGGAATGGACCCCAATGTAATGGACTCGAATGGAACAGACTCAAATAGAATGGATTTGAAAGGAGTGGTCTCTAATGGAATTTATTCAAATAGAATGGAATCAAATGGAATTCAATAGAATGGAATGGAATTGAATGGAATGGAATTGAATGGAATGGACCAGAATGGAATGGAGTGGATAAGAACGGACTCGATTGTAATGGATTGCAATGTAATTGTTTCGAATGGAATGGAATCAAACGGATTTTAATCAAATGGAATGGAATGGAATAAAATGGAATGGAATAGAATGGTATGCAATGGAATGGAATGGAGTGGAATCGAGTTGAATGGAATGGAGTGGAATCAAGTTGAATGGAATGGAGTTGAATGGAATGGACTGGAATGGAGGGGACTCGAATGGAATGGACTGGAAGAAAATGGAATCAAACGGAATTGAATCGAATAGAAACGAATGGAATGGAAAGGACTCGATTGGAATGAATTCGAATGGAATGGAATTGAATGTAATGGAATCGAATAGAATGGAACTGAACGGAATTGAAAGGAATAGAATGGAATGGAGTGTAATGGAAAGATTTTGAATGCAATGGAATGGAATTGAAAGGACTTGATGGAATGGACTGGAATGGAATTGACTCGAATGGAATGGACTGGAGAGGAATGGACTTCAATGGAATGGAAACGAATAAAATTTAAATGGAATGGAATGGAATGGAATGGAAAGGAAAGGAACAGAATGGAATGGAGTCGGATGGAATGGAATGACATGGAATCGAGTCGAAAGGAAAAGAATCGAATGGAATGCCATCGAATGGAATGGAATGGAATGGACTCGAATGGAAAGGACTCAAATGGTATAGAATGGAATGAAATGGCAACGAATTGAATGTAACGGAATGGAATTTACCCAAATGTAATGTACTCAAATGGTATAGAATGGAATGAAATGGCAATGAATTGAATGTAACGGAATGGAATTTACCCAAATGTAATGGACTCGACTGGAATGGATTCAAATAGAATGGACTCGAAAGGAATGTTCTCAAAAGGAATTTATTCAAATAGAATGGAATCGAATGGAGTGCAATAGTATGGAATGGGATCAAATGGAATGGAATCGAATGGAATGGACCAGAATGGATTGGACTGGAACAGAACGGACTCGAATGTAATGGATTGCAATGTAATTGATTCTAATGGAATGGAATCGAAAATAATGTAAACAAATGGAATGGAATGTAATGCAATTTAATGGAATAGAAAGTAATGCAATGGATTGGAACGGAGTGGAATAGAGTGGAATGGAATTGAATGGAATGGAATCGAATGGAATGAACTGGAATGGAATGGACTAGAATGGAATGGAGTGGAACAAATTGGAATCGAACGGATTGGAATAGAAAGGAATGGAAAGGAATGGAATGGAATGGAATGGACTCGAATAGAATGGAGTCAAATGGAATGGAATCGAAAGGAATGGAAATGAATGGAATGGAATTGAATGGAATCGAAAAGAATAGAATGGAATGGAGTTTAAAGGAAATATATCGAATTGAATGGAATGGAATGGACTCGGATGGAATGGACTGGAATGGAATGGACGCGAATGGAATGGACTGGAGTGGAATGGACTCTAATGTAATGGAAACGAATGGAATGGAATGGAAGGGAAAAGAATAGAATGGAACGGAACCGAATGGAATGGAATGGATTCAAATGGAATAGAATCAGTTGGAATGGCATTGAATGGAATGGAATGGAATGGAATGAAATTAAATGGACTCGAATGAAATGGCCTGGAATGGAATAGAATCGAATGCTATGGCATGGAATGGAATGGAATGGAATGGACCCAAATGTAATGGACTCAAATGGAATGGAATCAAATAGAGTGGACTCGAAAGGAATGGTTTCGAATGGAATTTATTTGAATAGAATGGAATTGAATGGAATGCAACATTATGGAATGGAATCAAATGGACTGGAATAGAACGGACCCGAATGCCATGGATAGCAATGTAATTGATTCGAATGGAATGGAATTGAATGGAATATAATCAAACGGAATGGAAAGGAATGCAATGGAATGGAAAAGAATGGAATGCAATGGAAAGGAACAGAGTGAAATCGAGTGGAATGGAATCAAATGCAATGGAATCGAATGGATTGGAATCGATTGGAATGGACTGGAATGGAATGGACTCGAATGGAATGGACAGGAACAAAATGGAATCGAACGGATTGGAACCGAATGAAATGGAATGGAATGTAATGGAATGGCATCAAATGGAATGGAGTCGAATGGAAGGGAATCGAATGGAATGGAATCGAATGGAAACAAAAGGAATAGAATTTAATGGAGTGTAATCAGTGATATCGAATGGAATGGAATGGAATGGAATGGACCAGAATGGAATGGAACGGAATGGACTCTAATGGAATAGACTGGAGTGGAATGGACTCGAATGGAATGGAAACGAATGGAATGGAATGGAATGGAAAAGAATAGAATGCAATGGAATCGGATGTAACTAAATGGAATGCAATGGAGTCGAATGGAGAGGAGTTGAATGGAATAATATCGAATGGATTCGAATGGAATGGAATCGAAAGGAAAGAACTCGATTGGAACAGAATAGATTGGAATGGCATCAAAGGGAATGGAACAGAAGGTAGTGTAATGGCAAGATATCGAATGGAATGGAATGGAATGGAATTGACTCTAATGGAATGGACTCTAATGGAATGGACTCGGATGGAGTGGACTGGAGAGGAATGGACTCGAATGGAATAGACTGAAATGGAAGGGGCTAGAATGGTATGGACTGGAGTGGAATGGGCTCGAATGGAATGGAAAGGAATGGAACGGAATGGATTGGAATGGAAAGGAAAAGAATGGAATGGAATCAGAAGGAACGGAATGGCATGGAATGCAATCGAAAGGAATAGAATCGAATGGAATGCAATTGAATGTAATGGAATGTACTGGACTCGAAAGGAACGGACTTGTATGGAATAGAATTGAATGGAATGGCATGGAATGGAATGGAATGGAATAGAATGGAATGCAATAAAATGGAACGGAGTGGAATGGAGTGGAATGGAATGGAATGGAATGGAATGCAATTGAAAGGAATAGAAAGAATGGAAAGTAATGGAAATATATTGAATCTAATAGAACGGAATGGAATGGACTCAAATGGTATGGACTGGAATGGAATGAAATTGAATGGCATGGACTGGAGTGGAATGGTATGGAATGGAATGAAAAGGAATGGAATGGAATGTATTGGAATGGAAAGGAAAAGAAAGAATGGAAATGTAGGGAATGGAATGAAATGGAATGGAGTCAAATGGAATAGAATAGAATGGAATGCAATCAAATGGAATGGAATGCAATGGACTCGAATGGAATGGACTCAAATGGAATAGAATAGAATGGAATGGCATGGAATGGAATGAAATAGAATGGAATGCAATAAAATGGAATGGAGTGGAACCGAGTGAAATGGAATCGAACGGAATGGAATGGAATGGAATTGACCCATATGAAATGGAGACCAATGGAATGGAATCGAATGGAATGGAACTGAATAGAATGGAATTGAATGCAGTCGAAAGGAATAGAAAGAATGGAGAGTAAAGGAAATATGTCGAATGGAATAGAATGGAATGGAATGGACACGAATGGAATATACTGGAATGGAATGGAATAGAATGGAACGGACTGAAAAGGAATGGACAAGAATGGAATGGAAACAAGAATGGAATGGAATGGAATGGAATGGAATGGAATGGAAGGGAATGGAAAGGAATGGAAAGGAATAGAATGGAATGGAATCAGATGGAATGGAATAGAATGGAATAGAGTTGAAAGGAATAGAATCGAATGGAATGGCATGGAATGAAATGGAATGGAAGGGAACGGAATGGAATGGGCTCGGATGGAATGGACTGGAGTGGAATGGTCTCGAGTGGAATGGAAAAGAATGGAATGGAATGCAATGGAATGGGAAGGAATAGAACACAGCGGAATCAGATGGAATGGAATGGAATGGAATGGAGTCGAATGGAATAGAATCGAATGGATTGCCATCAAATGGAATGGAATGCAATTGACTCGAATGAAATGGACTCGAATGGAATAGAATAGAATGGAATTGCATGGAATGGAATGGAATGGAATAGAATGGAATGTAATTAATAAAATGGAAAAGAGTGGAATCCAGTGGGATGGAATGGAATGGAATGGAATGGACTAGAATGTACCCGAATTGAGTGGAGCCGAACAGAATGGAATCGAATGGAATGGAATTGAATAGAATGGAATTAAATGCATGTGAAAGGAATAGAAAGAATGGAAGATAATGGAAAGATATCGAATGGAATAGAATGGAATGGAATGGACTCAAATGGAATGGACTTTAATGGAATGGAATCCAATGGAATGGACTGGAGTGGAATGGACTCGAATGGAAAGTAAACGAATGGAAGGGAATGGAATGGAATGGAATGGAATGGAAAGGAAAGGAATAGAATGGAATGGAATCGGATGGAACGGAATGGAATGGAATCGAATCGAATGGAATGGACTCGAATGGAATGGACTGGAACAAAATGGAATGGAAAGGATTGGAATAGAAAGGATTGGAAGGGAATGGAATGAAATGGAATTGACTCGAATGGAATGCAGTCGAATGGAATAGAATCGAATCAAATGGAGTCAAATGGAATGGAATCGAATGGAAAGGTATGGAATGGAATCGAAAGGAATAGAATGGAATGGAGTGTAATGGAAATATATCACATGGCATGGAATCGATGGAATGGATTCGAATGGAATGGATGGGAATGGAATGTAATCAAATGGGATGGACTGGAGTTGAATGGACAGGAATGGAATGGAAAAGAATGGAATGGAATGGAATGAACTCGATTGGATTCTACTGGAAAAAAGTGGAAACGAATGGATTGAAATGGAATAGAACAGAATGGAATGGAATGGAATGGAATCAAATGGAATGGAGTCGAATGGAATGTAATCAATGGAATGAAAAAGAACGGAATGAAAATGAATGGAATTGAAAGGATTAGAATGGAATGCAGGGTAATGGAAAGATGTCAAAAGGAAAGGATTGGAATGGAATGCACTCGAATGAAATGGAATGGAATGGAATGGAACAGAATGGAATGGAATTGGATGGAACGGAATGGAACTGAATGGCGTCGAATGGAATTGAATCCAATGGAATGGCATTGAATGGAATGGAAAGGAATGGAATGGAATTGAAAGGAATAGAAAGGAATGGAAACGGATGGAATGGAATGGAATGGAGTCGAATGGAATAGAATCGAATGGAATGTTGTCGAATGGAATGGAATGGACTCGAATGGAATGGAAACGAATTGAATGGAATTGAATGGAATGGAATGGAATGGAAAGGATTAGAATGGAATGGAATTGGATGGAACGGAATGGAATGGAATGGAGTCGATTGGAATAGAATCAAATGGAATGGCATTGAATGGAATGCAATGGAATGGAATGGATTGGAATGGATTGGAATGGAATGGAATTGAATGGAATGGACTCGAATGAAAAAGAATAGAATGGAATGGCATCGAATGGAAGGGGATGAAATGGAATGGAATGGACGCAAATGTAAGGGATTCAAATGGAATGGACTCAAATAGAATGGACTCGAAAGGAAAGGACCCGAATGGAATTTATTCAAATAGAGTGCAATCGAATGGAATGCAATAGTATGGAATGGAATAGAATGGAATGGACCGGAATGGAATGGAAAGGAATAGAAAGGAATCCAGTGTATTGGATTGCAATGTATTTGATTCGAATGGAATGGAATGTAATCATATGGAATTGAATGGAATGCAATGGAATGGAATAGAATGGGATGTAATGTAATGGACCGGAGTGAAATCGAGTGGAATGGAATCAAATGGAATGGAATCAAATGGAATGGAATTGATTGGCATGGACCGGAATGGAATGGCCTCGAATGGAATAGACTGGAAGAAAATGGAATTGCACGGATTGGAACCGAACAAAATAGAATGGAATGAAATGGAATGGCCTTGAATGGAATGCAATCAAATGGAATGTAATCGAATGCAATTGAATGGAATCAAACGGAAAGGAATTGAACGGAATCGAAAGGAATAGAATGGAGTGGAGTGTAACGGAAAGATATTGAATGCAGTGGAATGGAATGGAATGGACTCGAATGGAATGGACTGGGATGGAATGGACTCGAATTGAATGGACTGGAGTGGAATGGGCTAGAATGGAATGGAAATGAAACGACTGGAACAGGATGGAATGGAACGGAATGGAATCGAATGGAAATGAATAGAATGGAAAGGAATCAGATAGAATGGAATGGAAGGGAGTGCAATGGAAAGATATTGAATGGAATGGAATGGAATGGAATTGACTGGAATGGACGGGAATGGAATCGACTAGAATGGAATGGACTGGAACAAAATGGAATCGAACGAATTGGAACTGAAAGAAATGGAATGGAATGAAATGGAATGGCCTCGAATGGAAAGGAGTCAAATGGAATGGAATCGCATGGAATGGAATGGAGTCGAATGGAATCGAAAGGAATAGAATGGAATGGAGAGTAAAGGAAAGATTTTGAATGCAATGGAATGGAATGGAACGGAATCGAATGGAATGGACTGGAAAGTAATGGACTCGAATTGAATGGACTGCAATGGAATGGGCTAGATGGAATGGAAACGAATGGAATGGAATGGAATGTTATCGGATGCAATGGAATGGAATGGAATGGAGTCGATTGGAACACAATGAAATGGAATAGCATCGAATGAAATGGAATGGAATGGAATGGACTCGCATGAAAAAGAACAGAATGGAATGGCATTGAATGGAATGGGATGGAATGGAAAGGGTTGGAATGGAATGGACCCAAATGTAATGGACTCAAATGGAATGGACTCATACACAATGGACTCGAAAGGAATGGTCTCAAATGGAATTTATTCGAATCGAATGGAATCGAATGGAATGCAATAGTATGGAATGGAATAGAATGGAATGCAATCGAATGGAATGGAATGGAATAAAATGGTCTGGAATAGAAAGGACTTGAATATAATGGATTTCAATGTAATTGATTTGAATGGAATTTAATTGAATGGAATGTAACCACATGGATTGGAATGGAATGCAATGGAATGCAATAGAATGCAATGCAAAGGAATGGAATGTATTGGAATCGAGTTGAACAGAATCGAATGGAATGGAATCGAGTGGCAAGGAATTGAATGCAATGGACTGGAATGGAAGGGACTCGAATGGAATGTATGGAAAAAAACGGAATCGAACAGATTGGAATCGAATGGAAAGGAATGGAATGGACTCAAAAGGAATGGACTCAAAAGGAATGGAGTTGAATGGAATGTAATCAATACAATGAAAACGAATGGAATGGAACTGAATGGAATCGAAAGAAATAGAATGGAATGGAGGGTAATGGAAAGATATTGAATGGAATGGATTGGAATGGAATGGACTCGAATGGAATAGACTGGAATGGAATGGACTGGAATGGAATGGACTGGAATTGAATGGACAGGAGTGGAATGTGCTAGAATGGAATGGAAACGAATGGAATGGAATAGAATGGAATGGAATGGAATGGAATCGAATGGAAAGGAATTGAATGGAAAGGAATCGGATGGAAAGGAACGGAAAGGAGTGTAATGGAAAGATTTCAAATGGAAACGAATGGTATGGAATGGACTCAAATGGAATGCACGGGAATGGAATGGACTCGAATTGAATGTACTGGAGTGGAATGGTATTGAATGGAATGGAATACAGTGGAATGGAAAAAAATAGAATAGAATGGAATCGGATGGAACGGAATGGAACGGAACGGAGTCAAATGGAATAGAATCAAATGGAATGCAATTGAATGGAAAGGAATGCAATGGACTCGAATGAAATGGACTCCAATGGAATAGAATAGAATGGAATGTCATGGAATGGGATGGAATAGAATTGAATGCAATAACATGTAACGGAGCAGAATCGAGTGGAATGGAATGGAATGGTACGGAATGGAATGGAATGTACCCGAATGGAATGAAGTCGAATAGAATGGAATCGAATGGAATGGAATTGGATAGAATGGAATTGAATGAAATCGAAAGTAATAGAAAGAATGGAGGGTAATGGAAAGATATCGAATGGAATGGAATGGAATGGAATGGACTCGAATGCAATGGACTGGAGTGGAAAGGACACTAATGGAATGGAAACGAATGGAAATAAATGAAATGGAAAGGAAGAGAATGGAAGGGAATTGGATGGAATCGGATGGAATGGAATGGAGTCCAATGGAATAGAATCGAATGGAAAGGCATCGAATGGAAGGGAATGGAATCAAATGGAATGGACTCAAATGGAATAGAATAGAATGGAATGGAATTTAATGAAAACGAAAGGAATAGAATGGAATGGAGTGTAATGGAAATACATCGAATGGAATGGAATGGAATGGAATGTACTTGAATGGAATTTACTGGAATGGAATGGACTCGAATGGAATTGACTGGAGTGGAAAGGACTCGAATGGAGTGGAAACGAATGGAAAGGATTAGAAGGGACACGAATAGAACGGAATGGAATTGGATGGAATGGAATGGAAAGGAATGGAGTCGAATGGAATGGACACTAATGGAATGGATTCGAATGGAAAGGACTGGTGTGGAATGGAATTGAATGCAATGGAAGCAAGTGGAATGGAATGGAATGGAAAGGAATGGAATGGAATGGAATGGAAAGGAATGGAATGGAAAGGAATGGACTCGATTGGAATGGAGTTGAATGAAATGGCATCGAAATTAATCAAATCAAATGGAATGGAACTGAATGCAATTGAAAGGAATAGCATTGAATGAAGAGTAATGGATAGATATCGAATGGAAAGGAATGGAATGGAATAGACAGAAATGGAATGGAAAAGAATGGAATGGAATGGAATGGAAAGGAATAGAATGGAATGAAATTGGATGGAACGGAATGGAATGGAATGGAGTCAAATGGAAGGGAATCGAATGGAATGGCAACGAATGGAATGGAATGGAATGCAAAAGACTCAAATGGAATGGACTCCAATGGAATAGAATCGAATGGAGTGGCATTGAATAGAATGGAATGGAAAGGAATGGAATGGAATGGAATGGACACAAATGTAATGGATTCAAATGGAATGGACTGAAAAAGAACGGACTCAAAAGGAATGGTCTCAACTGTAATTTATTCAAATAGAATGGAATTGAATGGAATGCAAGAGTATGGAATGGAATCGAATGGAATGGACTGGAATGGAATGGACTGGAATAGAACAGACTCGAGTGTAATGGATTGCAAAGTAATTGATTCGAAAGGAATGGAATCGAATGGAATGTAATCAAATGGAATGGAATGAAATGCAATGGAAAGGAATAGAATGGAATGCAATGGAATGGAATGGTATGGAATCGAGTGGAATGGATTGGAATGGAATGGAAACAAATGGAATGGAGTGAATTGGAATGGACTCGAATGGAATGCACTGGAAGAAAATGGAATGGAAAGGATTGGAATCGAAAGGAAAGGAATGGAATGGAACAGAATGGAATGGAATGGAATGCAATCGAACAGAATGCAGTCGAATGCAATGGATCCAACTGGAATGGAATCGAATGGAATGGAATTGAATGGATTCGAAAGGAATAGAATGGAATGGAGTGTAAAGGAAAGATATTGAAAGGAATGGAATGGAATGGAATGGACTCGAATGGAATGGACAGGAGTGGAATGGAGGCGAGTGGAAAGGACTGGAGTGGAATGGACACGAATGAATTAGAAAGGAATGGAATGGAATGAAATGGCATGCAAAGGAATAAAGTGGAATGTAATCGGATGGAACGGAATGGAATCAAATGCAGTAGAATGCAATAGAATCCAATGGAATGGTTTCAAATGGAATGGATTGAAATGGAATGGAACGGAATGGATTGGATTCAAATGCAATGGACTCGAATGGAATAGAAAAGAATAGAATGGCATCGAATGCAATGGAAAGGAATGGAATGGAAAGGAATGGAATGGAATGGGATGGAATGGACCCAAATGTAATGTACTCAAATGGAATCGACTCAAATAGAATGGACTTCAAAAGGATTGGTCTCGAATGGAATTTATTCGTATAGAATGGAATCGAACGGAATGCAATACTATGGAATGGAATCCAATGGAATGGAATTGAATGGAATGTAATCAAACGGAATGAAATGGAAGTCAATGGAAAGGAAGACAATGGAATGCAAAGGAATGGAAAGGAGTGGAATCGAGTGGAATGGAATCGAATGGAATGGAATCAAATGAAATGTAATCGATTGGAATGGACTGGAATATAATGGACTCGAATGGATTAGACAGGAAAAAAATGGAGTTGAACAGATTGGAATCTAATGGAACGGAATGGAATGGAATGGAATGGACTCGAAAGGAATGGAGTCGAACGGAATACAATCGAGTGGAATGAAATCGAATGGAATGGACTGGAATGGAATTGAAAGAATAGAATGGAATGCAGTGTAATGGAAAGAAATCGAATGGAATGGAATGGACTCGAATGGAATGTACTGGAATTGAGTGGACTCAAATGGAGTGGACTGGAGTGGAATGGACTCGAATGGAATGGACTGGAACAAAATGGAATAGAACGGATTGGAATCGAATCGAAAGGAATGGAAAGAAATTGAATGGAATGGAATGGAATGGACTCAAATGGAATGGAGTCAAATGGAATGGAACCAAATGGAATGGAATGGAATGGAATAGAATTCAATGGAGTGTAACGGATAGATATGGAATAGAATGGAATTTAATAGAATGGACTCGAATGGAATGGACTGGAATGGAATGCAATCGAATGGAAGGGACTGGAGTGGAATGGACTGGAATGCAATGGAAACGCTTGGAATGGAACTGAATGGAATGGAAAGGAATAGAATGGAATGGAATTGGATGGAACGGAACGGAATGGAATGGAGTCGAATGGAATAGAATCGAATGGAATGGCATGAAACGGAAAGGAATGGAATGGAATGGACTCGAATGGAATGGACTTGAATGGAATAGAATAGAATGAAATGGCATAGAATGGAAAGGAATAGAATGGAATGGAATGGACCCAAATGTAATGGACTCGAATTGAATGGACTCAAATAGAATGGATTCGAAAGGAATGGTCTCGAATGGAATTTATTCGAATAGAAGGGAATCGAATGGAATGCGATACTATGAAATGGAATTTACTGGAATGGAATCAGTTGTAATGGAACGGAACGGAGTGGAGTGAAATAGAACGGACTCGAATGTTATGGATTGCAATGTAATTGTTTCGAATCGAATGGAAACGAATGCAATGTAATCAAATGGAATGGAATGGAATGCAATGGAATGAAAGAGAATTAAATGCAATGGAATGTAACGGAGTGGAATCGAGTGCAATTGAATCGGATGGAATGGAATCGAATAGAATCCAATGGAATTTACTGGAATGGAGTGGACTCAAATGAAATGGACTGGAACAAAATGGAATAGAACGGTTTGGAATAGAACGGATTGGAATCGAACGGAATGGAATGGAAAGGAATGGAATGGAATGGAATCGATTGGAATGGAATCAAATGGAATTGAATGGAATTGAATGGAATCGAAATGAATAGAATAGAATGGAGTGTAACGGAAAGATATCAAATGGAAAGAAATGGAATGGAATGGACTCGAATGGAATGGAATGTAATGGAATGGACTCGAATGGAGTGGCCTGGATTGGAATGGACTTGAATGCAATGGAAACGAATGGAATGGAATGGAATGGAATGGAATGGAATGGATTGGAATGGAAAGGAATAGAATGGAATGAAATCGGAGAGAACGGAATGTAATGGAATGGATTCGAATGGAATAGAATCGAATGGAAAGGCATCAAATGGAATGGAATGGAAGGAATAGACTCGAATGGAGGGGAATCGAATGGAACAGAATCGAATGGAAAGTCCTCGAATGGAATGGAATATAATGGAATGGAATGGAATGGACACAAATGGAATGGACACAAATATAATGGACTCGTATGGAATGGACTCAAATAGAATGGAATTGAAAGGAATGAACTGGAACAAAATGTAATCGAAAGGATAGGAATCAAACAGAATGGAATGGAACGGAATGGAATGGAATGGAAAGGACTCAAATGGAGTGGAGTCAAATGGAGTGGACTGTAATAGAATGGAATGGAATTGAATTGAATCGAAAGGAATAGAAAGGAATGGAGTGTAATGGAAAGATATCGAATGGAATGGAATGGAATGGAATGGAAAGGATTCAAATGGAATGGACTGGAGAGGAATAGACTTGAATGGAACGGAAATGAGTGGAATGGAATGGAAGGGAAAAAAAGGAATGGAATAGAAATGAAAAGAAAGAAATGCAGTCGGATGGAATGGATTGGTATAAAATGAAGTAGAATGGAATAGAATCAAATGGAATAGAATCAAATGGAATGGCATTGAAAGGAATGGAATGGAATGGACACAAATGCAATGGACTCGAAAGGAATGGATTCAAATAGAATGGAATAGAAAGACTGGTCTTGAAAGGAATTAATTCGAATAGAATGGAATCGAAAAGAATGCAATAGTATGGAAAGGAATTGAATGGAATGGAATCGATTGGAATGGAATTGAATGGAATCGAATAGCATAGAATAGAATGGACTGTAATAGAAAGACATCGATCGGAATGGAATGGAATGGAATGGACTCAAGTGGAATGGACTGGAATGAAATGGACTCAAATGGAATGGACTGGAACAAAATGGAATCGAACGGATTGGAATCGAATGGAACAACATGGAATGGAATGGAATGGAATGGAATGTACTCAAATGGAACGGAGTCGAATGGAATGGAACCAAATGTATTGGAAGTGAATGGAATTGAAAGGAATAGAATGTAATGGAGCATAATGGAAAGATATCGAATGGAATGGAATGGAATGGACTCGAATGGAAAGGACTGGAATGGAATGGACTCGAATGGAAAGGAAACGAATGGAATGGAAAGGAATGAAATGAAATGTAAAGTTATAGAGTGGAATGGAGTTGGATGGAATGGAGGGAACTGAATGGAGTCGAATGGAAAACAATCGAGTGGAATGGCATCAAACGGAATGGAATGGATTGGAATGGAATGGGCACAAACGTAATGGACTCGAATGGAATGGAAATAAGTGGAATGGAATGGAAAGGACTAGAATGAAATGGAATCAGATGGAACGGAATGGAATGGAATGGCGTCAAACGGAAGAGAGTTGAACGGAATGGCGTATAATGGAATGTTATGGAATGGAATGGACTCGAATGGAATGTACTGGAATGGAATAGAATCGAATGGAAGAGCATCGAATGGAATGGAATGGATTGGATAAAAATGTAATAGAATCGAATGGTATGGAGTCAAATAGAATGACCTCAAAGGAAAGGTCTCGAATGGAATATATTCGAAAAGAATGGAATCGAATGGAATGTAGTAGTATGGAATGGAATCAAATGGAATGGTGTCCAATGGAACGGACCAGAATGGAATGGACTGTAATAGAAAGGACCAGAATGTAATGGATTGCAAAGTAAATGATTTGAATGGAATGGAATCGAATGGTAAGTAATCAAATGTAATGGAATGGAATGCAATGTAATGGAATAGAAAGGAAAGCAATGGAAGGGAATGGAGTGGAATCGAATGGAATGTAATCGAATGAAATGGAAACGAAATGAATGAAATAAAATGGAATGGAGTGTAATGGAATGGCC
Source organism: Homo sapiens (assembly GCF_000001405.40). Lineage (NCBI taxonomy): Eukaryota > Metazoa > Chordata > Mammalia > Primates > Hominidae > Homo > Homo sapiens. The sequence goes on from NC_000017.11 coordinate 21,933,214, forward strand.
TAGAATGTAATGGACTGGAACAAAATGGAATCGAACAGATTGGAATGGAATGGAATGGAAAGGAATAGAAGAGAATGGACTTGAATGGAATGGTGTCGCAGGGAATGGAACCGAACGGAATGGAATTGAATGGAATCGAAAGTAATAGAATGGAATGGAGTGTAATGGAAATATAACAAATGGAATGGCATGGAATGGAATGGAATCGAATTGAATGGAAACGAATGGAATGGAATGGAAAGGAATAGAATGGCATGGAATAGGATGGAAAGGAATGGAATGGAATGGAGTCAAATGGAATGGAATCGAATGGAACGGAATGGAATGGAATGGAGTCGAATGGAAAGGAATCGAATGGAATGGCATCGAATGGAATGCGATGGAATGGAATGGACTGGAATGGAATAGAACCAAATGGAATGGCATCGAATGGAATGGAGTGGAATGGAATGGAGTGGAATGGAATGGACCCAAATGTAATGGACTCGAATAGAATGGAGTCAAATAGAATGGACTTGAAAGGAATGGTCTCGTATGGAATTTATTTGAATAGGATGGAATCGAATGGAATGCAATAGTGTGGATTGTTATCAAATGGAATGGAATCGAATGGAATGGACTGCAATGGAATGGACTGGAATAGAACAGACTTGACAGTAATGGATTGAAATGTAATTGAATCGAATGGAATGCAGTCAAATGGAATGTAATCAAGTGGAATGGAATGGAATGCAAGGAAATGGAACAGAATGGAATGCAATGGAATGGAATGAAGTTGAATCGAGTGGAATGGAATCGAGTGGAATGGAATCGAATGGAATGGAATAGAATGGAATGGACTGGAATGGCAAGGACTCGAATTGAATGTACTGGAACTAAATGGATTCGAACGGATTGGAATGGAATGGAACGGAACGGAATGGAATGGAATAGAATGGACTCGAATGGAAAGGAGTCGAAAGGAATGGAACCAAATGGTGTGGAATTGAATGGAATCGAAAGGAATAGAATGGAATGTAGTGTAATGGAAAGATATCGAATGAAACTCTATGGAATGGAATGGACTCGAATAGAATAGACTGGAATGGAGTGGAATCAAATGGAATGGCCTGGAGTGGAATGGACTCGAATGGAATGGAAACGAATGTAATGTAGTGTAATGTAATGGAATGGAATGGAAAGGAATAGACAGGAAAGGAATTGGATGGAATGGAATGGAAAGAAATGAGTTGATTGGAATAGAATCGTATTGAATGGCATGGAATGGAATGGAATGGAATGAAACGTACTCGAATGGAATGGACTCAAATGGTATTGAATGGAGTGGAATGGCACCGAATGGAAAGGAATGGAATGAAATGGAATGTAATGGAATGGACCAAAATGAAATGGACTGGAATGGAATGGACTCCAATAGAATGGACTCGAAAGGAATGGTCTTCAATGGAATTTATTCGAATAGAATGGAATAGAATGGAATGCAATAGTATGGAATGGAATAGAATGGAATGGATCACAATGGAATGGACTGGAATAGAATGGACCTGAATGTAATGGATGGCAATGTATTTGATTTGAATGGAATGGAATCGAATGGAATGTAATCAAATGGAATGGAATGGAATTCAACGGAATGGAATAGAATGCAATGCAATGGTATGAAACGGAGATGTATTGAGTGGAATGGAATCGAACGGAATGGAATCGAATGGAATGGAATAGAAGAGAATGGAATGCACTCGAATGGAATGGACTGGAACAAAATGGAATTGAACGGATGGGAATCAAACAGAAGGGAATGGAATAGAATGGAGTGGAAAGAAATGGAATCGAATGGAATGGAGTCGAAAGGAATCGAGTCGAAAAGAAAGGAATCGAATAAAATGAAATCAAACGGAATGGAGTCGAGTGGAATGCAATCCAACAGAATGGAATTGAATTGAATTGAAAGGAATAGAATGGAATGGAGTGTCATGGAAAAATATCAAATGGAATGGAATGGAATGGACTCGAATGGAATGGACTCGAAAGTAATGGACACGAATGGAATGGACTGCATTGGAATGGATTCGAATGGAATGGAAATGAATGGAATGGAATGGAACGAGTAGAATGGAACGGAATCGCATGGAACGGAAAGGAATGCAATGGAGTCGAATGGAAAAGCATCGAATGGAATGGCCACGAAAGAATGGAATGGAATGGAATGGAATGGAATGGACTCGAATGGAATGGACTCGAAAGGAATAGAGTCGAACGGAATGGCATCGAATGGAATGGAAAGGAATGGAAAGGAATGGAATGGAATGGACCCAAATGTAATGGACTCGAGTGGAATGGACTCAAATAGAATGGATTAGAAAGGAATGGTCTCGAATGGAATTTACTCGAATAGAATGGAATCGAATGGAATGCAATAGTATGGAATGGAATCAAATGGAATGGAATCAAATGGAATCGACTGGAATGGAATGGACTGGAATAGAAGCAAATCGAATGCAATGGAATGCAATGTAATTGTTTCGAATGGAATGGTATTGAATGGAATGTAATCAAATGGAATGGAATGGAATGCAATGGAATGGAATAGAATGGAATGCATTGGCATGGAACAGAGTGGAATTGAGTGTAATGGAATTGAATGGAATGGAATCGAATTAAATGGAATCGAATGGAATGGACAGGAATGGAATGGACTACCATGGACTGGACTGAAACAAAATGGAATGGAACAGATTGGAATGGAACAGAACAGAATGGAATGGAATGGCATGGAATGGAATGGACTCCAGTGGAATGGAGTAGAATGGAATGCAATCAAATGGAATGGAATCAAACAGAATGGACAGAAATTGAATGGACTCGAATGGATTGGACAGGAACAAAATGGATTCAAATGGATTGTAAACGAAAGGAACAGAATGAAATAGCATGGCATGGAATGGAATGGTATCGAATGGAATGGTATCCAATGGAACGGATTGAAACGAAATGGAATCGAATGGAATGGAATAGAATAGAAGGGAATTGAATGGAATCAAAAGGAATAGGATGGAATGGAGGGTAATGAGAGATATCGAATATAATGTAATATAATGTAACGTAATGGAATGGAATGGACTGGAGTGGAATGGACTTGAAAGGAATGGAGACGAATGGAATGGAATAGAAAGGAAATGAATAGAATGGAATGCAATTAGATGGAATGAAATGGAAGGGCACGAAGTAGAATGGAATAGAATCGAATGGAATGGCATCAAATGGAATGGAATGGACTCGAGTGGAATGGACAAGAATGGAATAGCATCGAATGGAATGGCATTGAATATAATGGAATGGACTGGAATGGAATGGAATCGAATGTAATGGATTGCAATGTAATTCATTCGAATGGAATGGAATCGAATGGAATGTAATCCAATGGAATGGAATCAAATGGAATTTAATCCAATGGAATGGAATGGAATGCAATGGAATGGAAAAGAATGGAATGCAATGGAATGGAACGGAGTGGAAACGAGTGGAATGGAATCGAATGGAATGGAATGGCATGGATTCAAATGGAATGGACTGGAATGGAATGGACTCGAATGGAATGGACTGCAACACAATGGAATGGAACCGATTGGAACTGAAGGGATTTGAATAGAATGGATTCGAATTGAATGGACTCCAATGGAATGGAGTCTAATTGAATGGAACCAAATGGAATGGAATCGAATGGAATGGAATTTAATAGAATCAAAAGGAATTGAATGGAATGAAGTTTTATGGAAACATCGAATGGAATGCAATGGACTCGAATGAAATGGCCTAGAAAGGAATGGACTCGAATGGAATGGACGGGAGTGGAATGGACTCGAATAGAGTGTAAACCATTGTAATGGGAAGGAATTTAATGGAATGGAATGGAAAAGAATAGAATTGAATGGAATCAGATGGAACGGAATGGAATGGAATGGAGTCAAAAGAATAGAATCTTATGGAATGGCATTGAATGGAATGGAATGGGATAGACTCGAATGGAATGGACTCAAATGGAATAGATTCGAATGGAATGGCAATGAATGGAAGGGAATGGAATGGGTAAAAACTAATGGACTCGAATGGAATGGAATAAAATAGATTCGACTCGAAAATAATGATCTCGAATGGAATTTATTCGAATAGAACGGAATCGAATGGAAGGGAATCTAATGAAATGGAGAGGAATGGAATGGAGTGGAATAGAACGGACTTGAATGTAATGGATTGAAATGTAATTGATTCGAATGGAATGGAATCGAATGGAATGTAATCAAATTGAGTTTATTGGAATGCAATGGAATTGACTAGAATGGAATGCAATGGAATGGAACGGAGTGGAATTGAGTGGAATGGAAACCAATGGAATGGAATCGAATGGAATTGAATGGAATGGAATGGACTCCAATGTAATGGACTGAAACAAAATGGAATCGAACCGATTGGAATCGAATGGAACAGAAAGGAATGGAATGGAATGGACTTTAATGGAATTGAGTCGAAAGGAATGGAATCGAAAGGAATGGAATCAAATGGAGTGGAATTTAATGGATTCGAAAGGAATAGAATGGAATGGAGTGTAATCGAAATATCGAATGGAATGGAATGGAATGGACTCCAATGGAATGGACTGGAATGGAATGGACTCCAATGGAATAGACTGCAGTGGAATGGAATCCAATGGAACAGAAAAGAATGGAATGGAATGGAAAGGAGAACTATGGAATGGATTCGTTTGGAACGGAATGGAATGGATACGAATGGAATAGAATCAAATAGAATGGCATCAAAAGGAATGGAATGGAATGCAATGGACTCGAACGGAGAGGCCTAGAATGGAATGGACTCGAGTGGAATGGCATCGAATGGAATGGAATGGAATGAAATGGAATGGAATGGACCCCAAAGTAATGGACTCGAATGGAATGGACTCAAATAGAATGGACTCGAAAGCAATGGTCTCCAATGGAATTTATTCGAATAGAATGTAATCAACTGGAATGCAATAGTATGGAATGAAATCGAATGGAATGGAATCAAATGCAATGGACTGGAATGGAGAGGACTGGAATAAAACGGACTGGAAAGTAATGGATTGCAATGCAATTGATTCGAATGGAATGGAATTGAATGAAATGTAATCAAATGGAATGGAATGGAATGCAATAGAATGGAATAGAGTGGAATGAAATGGAGAGGAATCGAGTGGAATAGAATCGAATGGAATGGAATAGAATGGAATGGACTGGAATGGAATTCATTCGAATGGAGTGGACTGGAGTGGAATGGAATTGAACGGAATGGAAACGAATGGAATGGAATGGAATGGAAAGGAATAGAATGGAATGGTATTGGATGGAATGGAATGGAATGGAATGGAGTCGAATGGAATGGAATGGAATGGAGTCGAATGGAATAGAATCGAATGGAATGGCATCGAATGGAAAGGAATGGAATAGAATCGAATAGAATGGACTCAAATGGAATAAAATAGAATGGAATGGCATTTAATGGTATGGAATGGATTGGAATGGAATGGAATGGAATGGAACCAAATGTAATGGACTCGAATGGAATGTACTCAAATAGAATGTACTCGAAAGGGATGGTCTCAAAAGGAATTTATTCGAATAGAATGGAATTGAATGGAATGCAATAACATGGAATGGAATCGAATGGAATGGAATCGAATGGAATGGACCAAAATGGAATGTACTGGAATTGAACAGACTCTAATTTAATAGATTGCGATGTAATTGATTTGAACGCAATGGTATTGAATTGAATGTAATCAAATGGAATGTTATGAAATGCAATGGAATGGAATAGAATGGAATGCAATGGAATGGAAGAGAATGGAATGCAATGGAATGGAACAGAGTGGAATCAAGAGGAATGGAATCGAATGGAATGGACTGGAATGGAATGTACTCGAATGGATAGGACTGGAACAAAATGCATTCGAACGGATTGGAATGGAATGGAATGGAATGGAATAGAAGGGAATAGAATGGAATGGATTCGAATGGAATGGAACCGAACTAAATTGAATTGAGTGGAAACGAATTCAATGGAATCGAAAGGATTAAAATGAAATCGAGTGTAATGGAAATATATCGAATGGAATGGAAAGAAAAGGAGTGGACTCGAATGAAATACAAGGAATGGAGTGGAATCGAATGGAATGGACTGGAGTGGAATGGACGCCAATGGAATGTAAATAAATGGTATGGAATGGAATGGAATGTAATGGAAAGGAGAAGAATGGAATGGAATCGGATGGAAAGAAATGGTATGGAATGGAGTCGAAAGAAATAGAAGCGAATGGAATGGCATCGATTGGAATGGAATGGAATGGAATGGACTCGAATGGAATGGACTTGAAAGGAATCGAATGGAATGTAATGGCATCGAATGGATTGGAATGGAATCGAGTGGAATGGAATGGAATGGAACGGAATGGAACCAAATGTAATGGACTTGAATGGAAGGGACTCAAATAGAATCAATTGGAAATGAATGGTCTACAATGGAATTTTTTCGAATAGAATGGAATCGAAAGGAATGCAACAGTATGGAATGGAATAGAATGGAAAGGAATCAAATGGAATGGAGCGGAATAGAATGGATTGGAATAGAACGGACTCGAATGTAATGGATTGCAATGAAATTCATTCGATTGAATGGAATCCAATGGAATGCAATTCAATGGAATAGAATGGAATGTAATGTAATGGAATGAAAGAGAATGGAATGCCATGGAAAGGAATGGAGTGGAATCGAGGGGAATGGAATCGAATGGAATGGAATCGAATAGAATGGACTCGAATGGAAGGGAATCGAATGGAATGGACTCGAGAGAAATGGTATGGAATGGAATTTATTCTAATAGAATGGAATCGAAGGAAATAAAGTAGTATGGAATAGAATCGAATGGAATGGACGGGAATGGAATAGAATGGAATAGAACAGACTTGAATGTAATTAATAGCAAAGTAATTGATTCGAATGGAATGCAATAGAAAGGAATGTAATCTAATGGATTGGAATGGAATGCAATGGAATGGAATAGAATGGAATGCAATGGAACGGATCAGAGTGGAAATGAGTGTAATGGAATTGAAAGGAATGGAATCGAATGGAATGGAATCAAATGGAATGGAAACGAATGGAATTGACTGGAATGGAATGGAATGGAATGGACACGAATGGAATGGATTCAAATGTAATTGAAACTAATTTAATAGAATGGAATGAAATTTAACAGAAAGGGATAGAATGGACTGGAATCGGATGGAATGGAATGGAGTCAGATGGAATAGAATCGACTGGAATGTCATTGAATGGAATGGAATGGAATGGAAAGGAATGGAATCAAATGTAATGGAAAAGAAATTAATGGAATGGAGTGTAATGGAACGGAAAGGGATAGAATGGAATGGAATCGGATGGAATGGAATGGAATGGAATGGAGTCAGATGGAATAGAATCGAAGGGAATGTCATGGAATGGAATGGAATGGAATGGAATGGAATGGAAGGGAATCGAATGGAATGGACTCAAATGGAACAGAATCGAATGGAATGGCATCAAATTGAATGAAATGGAATGGAATGAAATGAAATGGAATTTAATGGAATGGACCCAAAGGTAATGGACTCAAATGGAATGGACTCGAAAGGAATGGACTCGAATGGAATTTATTCGAATAGAATGGAATCGAATGGAATGCAATTGTATGGAATGGAATCGAATGGAATGGCATCCATTGGAATGGAACTGAATGGAATGGACTCGAATGGAATGGTCTCTAATGGAATAGAATCGAATGGAATGGAAATAAATGGAATGGAATGGAATGGAATGGATTAGACCCAAATGTAAAGGAATCGAATGGAATGGACTCAAATAGAATGGACTCGAAAGGAATGGTCTCAAATGGAATTTATTCGAATACAATGGAATCGAAAGTAATGCAGTAGTAATGAAAGGAATTGAATGGAATGGAATTGACTGGAATGGAACGGAATGGAATGGACTGGAATAGAACGGACTCGAATGTAATGTATTGAAATGTAGGGGATTTGGATGCCTTCAAATTGAATGGAATGTAATCACATGGAATATAATGGAATGCAATGTAATGGAATAGAATAGAATGCAATGGAATTGATCCAAGTGGAATCAAATGTAATGGAATCGAATGGAATGCAATCGAATGGAATGAACTGGAATGGAATGGACTCGAACATAATGGCCTGGAACAAATTGGAATTGAACGTTTTGGAATTGAACAGAATGGAATGGAATGGACTCGAATGGAATGAAGTCGAATGGAATGCAATCGAATGGCAAGGAATCAAATGGAATGGAATAGAATGGAATCACAAGGAATAGAATGGAATGGAGTGTAATGGAAAGATATTGAATGGAATGGTATGGACTCGATAGGAATGGATTAGAATGGAATGGACTCGAATAGAATTCACTAGAGTGGAATGGACTCAAATGGAATCGAAACGAATGGAATGGAATGGAACGGAATGGAAAGGAATATAATGGAATAGAATCGGATGGAATGGAATGGAATGCAATGAAGTTGAATGGAATAGAATCCAATGGAATGGCCTCAAATGGAATGGAATGGAATGGACCCGAATGGAATGGACTGGAGAGGATTGGACTCAAATGGAATGGAATGGAATGGAGAGGAATAGAATGGAATGGAATCGGATGTAACAGAATGGAATAGAATGGAGTCGAAAGGAATAAAATAAAATGGAATGGCATCGAATGCAATGGAATGGAATGGAATGGAATGGACTCGAATGGAATTTGTTCAAATGGAATAGAAGAGAATGGAATGGCATTAAATGGATTGGAATGGAATGGAATGGAATGGAATGGAACCAGATGTAATGTACTGGAATGGAATGGACTCAAATGAACGGATTCGAAAGGAATGGTCTCGAGGGGAATTTATTCGAATAGAATGGAATTGAATGGAATACAATAGTATGGAATGGAATCGAATGAAATGGGAATGAATGGAATGTACCGGAATGGAATGGACTGGAATAGAGCAGACTCAAATGTAAAGGATTGCAATGTAATAGATGCAAATGGAATGGAATCAAATGGGATGTAATCAAATGGAATGGAATGGAATGCCATGGAATGGAATAGAATGGCATGCAGTGGAATGGAATAACATGGAGTGGAATGAAATCGAATGGAATGTAATCAAATGGAATGGAATGGAATGCCATTGAATAGAATAGAATGGAATGTAATGGAATGGAATAGAATGGAATGCAACGGAATGGAATGGAGTGGAGTCGTGTGCAATGGAATTAAATGTAATGGAATCGAATGGAATGGATTCGAATCGAATGGACTGGAATGGAAAGGACTTGAATGGAATGGACTGCATCAAAATGGTTTCGAGTGGATTGGAGTCGAACGGAACAGAATGGAAAGGAGTGGAATGGATTGGAATGAAATGGAATGGACTCGAATTAATGGAGTCGAACGGAATGGAATCAAATGGAATGTAATCGAATAGAATGGAACTGAATGGATTTTTTTTTTTATTATACTCTAAGTTTTAGGGTACATGTGCATATTGTGCAGGTTAGTTACATATGTATACATGTGCCAAGCTGGTGCGCTGCACCCACAAATGAGTCATCTAGCATTAGGTATATCTCCCAATGCTATCCCTCCCCCCTCCCCCGACCCCACCACAGTCCCCAGAGTGTGATATTCCCCTTCCTGTGTCCGTGTGATCTCATTGTTCAATTCCCACCTATGAGTGAGAATATGCGGTGTTTGGTTTTTTGTTCTTGCGATAGTTTACTGAGAATGATGGTTTCCAATTTCATCCATGTCCCTACAAAGGTTATGAACTCATCATTTTTTATGGCTGCATAGTATTCCATGGTGTATATGTGCCACATTTTCTTAATCCAGGAATTGAAAGGAATATAATGGAATTGAGTCTAATGGAAAGATATAGAATGTTATGGAATGGAATGGACTCGAATGGAATGGCCTGGAACGGAATGGACTCGAAAGGAATGGACTGGAGTGGAATGGCCTCGAATGTAATGGTAACGAATGGATTGGAATGGAATGGAATGGAACGGAAAGGAATAGAATAGAATGGAATCGGATGGAATGGAATGGAGTCGAATGGAAGAGAATCGAATGGAATGGCATCAAATGGAATGGAATGGAATGCAATGGAATGAGATGGAATAGACTCGAAATGAATGGACTCGAATGGAATAGAATCGAATGGAATGGCAACGAATTCAATGGAATGTAATGGAATGGAATGGACCCAAATGTAATGGACTCGAAAGTAATATACTCAAATAGAATGGACTTGAAAGGAATGGTGTTGAATGGAATTTATTAGAATAGAAAGTAATAGAATGGAATGCAATAGTATGTAAAGCAATCGAATGGAATGGATTCGAATGGAATGGAATGGACTGGAATAGAATGGACAAGAACGTAATGGACATCAATCATATGGATTTGAATGGAATGGAATCGAATGGAATGTAATCAAATGAAAGGGAATGGAATGCAATGGAAAGGAATGGTGTGGAATCAAGTGGAATGGAATCCAATGGAATGGAATCGAATGGAATGGAATCAATTGAAAGGTACTGGAATGGAATGGACACCAATGGAATGAACTGGAGCAAAATGGAATTGAACGGATTCGAATAAAACCGCACGGAATGGAATGGAATGGAATGGACTCGAATGGAATGGAGTCGATTGGAATGGAATCGAAGGGAATGGAATTGAATGGAATGGACTTCAATGGAATCGAAAGGAATAGAATGGAATGGAGTGTAATGGAAAAGTATCGAATACAATGGAATGGAAAGGAATGGACTCGAAAGGAATGGACAGGAATGTAATGGAATTGAATGGAATGGACTGGAGTGGAATGGACTCAAATGGAATGGAAATGAATGCAATGGAATGTAATGGAATTAAATGGAAAGGAATAGAATGGAATGGAATTGGATGGAATGGAATGAAACGGAATGGTGTTGAATGGAATAGAATCCAATGGAATGACATCGAATGGGATGGTATGGAATGGACTCGAATGGAATGGACTCAAATCGAATCGAATAGAATGGAATGGCATCGAATGGAACAGAATGGAGTGAAGTGTAATGGAAAGATATCAAATGGAATAGAATGGAATGGAATGGGCTCGAATGGAATGGACTGGAATGGAATGGACTCAAAAGGAATGGACTGGATTGGAATGGACTCGAATGGAATGGAAACGAAAGAAATGTAATGTAATGTAATGGAATGGAAAGGAATAGAATGGAATGGAATCGGATGAAATGGAATGGATTGGAATGTAGTCGAATGGAATAGAATTGAAAGGAATGGCTTCGAACGGAATGGAATCGAATGGACTCGAATGGAATGGACTCGAATGGATAGTATAGAATGGAATGGCATCAAATGTAATGGAATGGAGTGGATTGGAACGGAATTGCATGGAATGGACCCAAATGTAAAGGGCTAGAAAGGAATGGAATCAAATAGAATGGAGTAGATAGGAATGGTCTCGAATGCAATTTATTCTAATAAATTGAATAGAAAGGAATGCAGTAGTATGGAATGGAATCGAATGGAATGGAATCCAACGCAATGGACTGGAATGAAATGGACGAGATTAGAATGGACGTGAATGTAATGGATTGCAATGTAATTGATTTGAATGGAATGGAATCGAATGGAATATAAACAAATGGAAAGGAATGGAATGCAATGGAATGGAACAAAATGGAATGCAATGGAATGGAACGGAGTGGAATCCAGTGGAATGGAATTGAATGTAATGGAATCGAATTGAATGGACTGGAATGAAATGGAATCCAATGGAATGGACTGGAATAAAATGGAATCGAATGGATTGGAATCGAGCGGAACGGAATGGAAGGGAATGGAAAGGAATGGACTCGAATGGATTGGAGTCCAATTGAATGGAACCCAATGGAATGGAATTGAATGGAATCAAAAGGAATAGAATGGAATGGAGTGTAATGGAAAGATATCAAATGGAATGGAATGGACTCAAATGGAATGGACTGGAATTGAATGGACTCGAATGGAATTGACTGGTGAGGAATGGAAACGAATGGAATGGAAAGGATTAGAATGGAATGGAATCGGATGGAACGGAAAGGAATGAAATGGAGAAGAATGGAATAGAATCGAATGGAATGGCATCGAATGGAATGGAAAGGAATGAATCGAATCGAATGGAATGAACTCGAATGAAATAGAATCCAATGGAAAAGAGTAGAATGGAATGGCATCGAATGGCATCGAATGGAATGGAATGGAAAGAAATAGAATGGAATGGACCCAAATATAATGGACTCGAATGGAATGGACTCCAATAGAATGGACTCGAAATGAATGGTCTCGAATGGAATTTATTCGAATAGAATGGAATCAAAAGCAATGCAGTTTTATGGAATGGAAACGAATGGAATGGAATCCAATGCCATGGATCGCAATGGAATGGAATGGAATAGAATGGATGCGAATGTAAAGGATTGCAATGTAATTGATATGAGTGGAATGGAATCGAATGGAATGTAAAGAAATGGAATGCAATTGAAGGCAATGGAATGGATTAAAATGAAATGCAACGGAATGCAACGGAGTGGAATCAAGTGGAATGGAATTGAATGGAATGGAATTGAATGTAATGGAATCGAATGGAATGGACTGGAATGAAATGGACTCGAATGGAACGGATTGGAACAAAATGGAATTGAACGGATTGGAAACGATCAGAACAGAATGTAATGGAAAGGAATGGAATGGACTCGAATGGAATGGAGTCGAATCGAATGGAACCCAATGGAATGGAATTGAATGGAATCGAAAGGAATAGAAAGGAATGGAGTGTAATGGAAAGATATCGAATTGAATGGAAAGGAATGGAACGAAGTCGAATGGAATGGACTGGAATTGAATGGACTCGAATGGAATTGACTGGTGTGGAAAGGAAACAAATGGAATGGAATGGATTGGAATGGAAAGGATTAGAATGGAATGGAATCGGATGGAATGGAATGGAATGAAATGGAGAAGAATGGAAAAAAATCGAAAGGAATGGCTTCGAAAGGAATGGAAAAGAATGGAATGGACTCGAATGGAATGGACACGAATGGAATAGAATAGAATGGAATGGCATTGAATGGAATGGAATGGAATGAAATAGAATGGAATGCACCCAAATGTAATGGACTCGAATAGAATGGACTCAAATATAATGGACTCGAACGGAATGGTCTCGAATGGAATTTATTCAAATAGAATGGAATCAAATGGAATGCAATTGTATGGTATGGAATCGAATGGAATGGAAATGAATGGAAAGGACAGTAATGGAATGGACTGGAATAGAACGGACTCGAATTAAATGGATTACAATGTAATTGATTCGAATGGAATGGAATCAAATGGAATGTAATCAAACGGAATGGAATGGAATGCAACAGAATGGAATGCAATGGAATGGAATACAATGGAATGCAATGGAATGGAACGGAATGGAATGGAGTGCAATGGAATCAAATGGAATGGAATCGAATGGAGTGGACTGGAATGGAATGGACTCGAATGGAATGGACTGGAAAACAATGGAATCAAACGGATTGGAAAAGAATGGAATAGAAAGGAATGGAAAGGAACGGATTGCAATGGAATGGAATAGACTCGATTGGAATGGCTTCGAATGGAATGGAATTGAAAGAAATGGAATCGAATAGAATGGAATTGAATGGAATTGAAAGGGATAGAATGGAAGGGAGTGTAATGGAGAGAAATCGAATGTAATGGAATGGAATGGACACGAATGGAATTGACTGGAATGTAATGGACTCGAATGGAATGGACTGGAGTGGAACGGATTTGAATGTAATGGAAACGAATGGAATGTAATGTAATGAAACGGAAAGGAATACAATGGAATGTAATCAGATGGAACGACATGGAATGGAATGGAGTCAAATGGAAGAGAATCCAAAGGAATGGCATCAAATGGAATGGAATGTAATGGAATGAAATGGAATGGACTAGAATGGAAAGGACTAGAAAGGAATAGAATCAAACGGAATTGCATCCAATGGAATGGAATGGAATGGAATGGAATGGAATGGACCCAAATGTAATGGAGTCGAATGGAACATACTGAAATAGAATGGACTCGAAAGGAATGGAATCTAATGGAATTTATTCGAATGGAATGGAATCGAATGGAATGCAATAGTATGGAATGGAATCGAATAGAATGGAATCAAATAGAATGGAATGGAATGGAATGGACTGGAATAGAATGGACTCCATTGTAATGGATTGCATTGTAATTGATTCAAATGGAACGGAATCGAATGGAATGTAATCCAATGGAATGGAAAGGAATGCAATGGAATGGAATAGAATGGAATGAAATGGAATTGAATGGAGTTAATTCAAGTGGAATGAAATCGAATGGAATGGACTGGAATGGAATGGAGTGGAATAGAACGGACTCGAATATAGCGGATTGCAATGTAATTGATTCGAATGGAATGGAATCGAATGGAATGTAATCAAATGGAATGGAATGGAATGCAGTGGAATTGAATAGAATGGAATGCATTGGAATGGAAATGAACGGAGTGGAATCGAGTGGAGTGGAATCGAATGGAATGGAATCGAATGGAATGAAATCGAATGCAATGGACTCAAAAAAATGGACGAGGGAGAAAAAGGAATCGAACGGATTGGAATCAAACGGAATGGAATGGAATGGAATGGAATGGAATGGAAATGTCTCGAATGGAATGGAGTAGAATGCTAGGGAATGGAATGGAATTGAATGGAATGGAAAGGAATGGAGTGTAATGGAAGGATATCAAATGGATTAGAATAGAATTGAATGGACTCGAATGGAATGAATTGGAATCGAACGGACACGAATGTAATGGACTGGAGTGAAATGGAGTTGAATGTAATTGACTGGATTGGAATGGACTCGAATGGAATGGACTTGAATGGAATGTACTCGAATGGAGTGGACAGGAATAAAATGTAATCCAACAGATTGGAATGGAATGGAATGGAATGGAATGCAATTGAATGGCTCGAATGGAATGGAGTCGAATGGAATGGAACTGAAAAAATGGAATTGAATGGAATCGAAAGGAATAGAATGAAATGGAGTGTAAAGGAAAGATATCGAAAGAATGGATGGAAAAGGACTCGAATGAAATGGACTGGAAAGAAATGTACTCGAATGGAATGGACTGGAGAGGAATGGACTCGAATGGAAGGGAAAATAATGGAATGGAATGGAAAGGAATGGAATGGAATGAAATCGTATGGAACTGAATGGGATGGAATGGAGTCAACAGGAATAGAATCGAATGGAATAGCATCGAATGGAATGGAATGGACTCTAACGGAATGGAAACAAATGGAATGGAATGGAATGGAATAGAAAGGTATCAAATGGACTCGAATTGGATGGAATGGAATGCAATGAAATGGAATCGAATGGAATAGAATCGAATGAAATGGCATCGAACGGAATGGATTGGAATGGAATGGAAAGGAATGGAATGGAATGGACTCGAATGAAAAGTACTCGAACGGAATAGAATAGAATTGAATGGAACTAAATATAATAAACTCGAATGTAATGGACTCAAATAGAATGGAATCAAAGGGAATGGTCTTGAATGGAATTTATTCGAATAGAATGGAATCGAACGGAATGCAATAGTATGGAATGGAATAGAATGGAATGGAATCAAATGGAATGAACTGGAATGGAATGGACTGACATAGAACGGACTCGAGTATAATGGATTGCAATGTATTAGATTCGAATGGAATGGATTCGAATGGAATGTAATCAAATGGAAGGGAACGGAATGCCTGGAATGGAATAAAATGTAATGCAATGGAATGGAATAGACTGGAGTGGAATGGAATAGAATGGAATGTAATCAAATGTAATGTAATGGAATGCCATGGAATGGAATAGAGTGGAATTCAATGGAATGGTATAGAATGGAATGCAATGGAATTGAGTGGAATGGAGTCAAATGGAATGGAATGGAATGGCATTAAATGGAATGGAGTGGAATGGACTCGAGTGGAAAGGGCACAAAAGGAATATATTATAATGGAACGGCAACCAATGGAATGGAATGGAGTAAAATGCAAAGATATCAAAAGGAAAGGAATGGTATGGACTCAAATGGAATATACTGGAATGGAATGGACTCGAATGGAATGGACTGGAGTGGAATGGACGTGAATGGAATGGAAAAGAATGGAATGGAAGGGACTGGAATGGAAAGGAATAGAGTGGAATGGAATGGAATGGAAAGGATCTAAAGGAATAGAATCGAATGGAATGGCATTGAATGGAATGGAATGGAATGGAATCTGATGGAACAGAAAGGAATGGAATAGAATCGAATGGAATGGCATCGAATGGAATGGAATGGAAAGAAATGGAATCAAATGGAATGGCATCGAATGGAATAGAACAGAATGGAACGGGATCGAACGAAATGGAATGAAATGGAATGGAATGGAATGGAATGGATGCAATAGACCCAAATGAAATGGAGTCGAATTGAATGGACTCAAATAGACTGCACTCCAAAAGAATGGTCTGAAATGGAATTTATTCGAATAGAATGGAATCGAATAGAATGGAATCTAATGGAATGGAGCGGAATGGAATGGACTGAAATAGAACAGATGCCAATGTAATGGATTGCAATGTAATTGTTTCAAATGGAATGGATTCAAATGGAACATAATCTAATGGAATGCAATGGAATGCAATGGAATGGAATAGAGTGGAATGGATTGGAACAAAAGGAATCGAAATGATTGGAATCAAATGCAACGGAATGGAATGGAATCGAATGGACCCAAATGGAATGGAGTCGAATGGAATGGAATCGAATGGAATGGAATCTAATGGAATGGATTTGAATGGGATCGAAAGGAATGGAATGGAATGGAATGGAATATAATGGAAAGATGTCAAATGGAATGGAATGGAATGGATTGTAATGGAAAGATATCGAATGGAAAGGAATGGACTCGAATGGAATGGACAGGAATGGAAGGGACTCGAATGGAATGGACACGAAAGTAATGGAAACGAATAGAATGGAATGGAATGGAAAGGAATAGAATGGAATGGAATCGGATGGAACGTAATGGAATGGAACAGAGTCGAATGGAATAGAATAGAATGGAATGGCATCAAATGGAGTGGAATGGATTGGACTGGAATCGAATGGAATGGACTCAATTTTAATACAGTAGAATGGAATGACATCGAATGGATTGGAATGGAAATGAATGTAAGGAACTCGAAAGGAATAGAATCAAATGAAATGACATGGAAAGGAATGGAAGGGAATGGAATGGAAGGGAATGGAATGGAATGGATTTAAATGGAATGGACTCGAATGAAGTAGACTCAAATAGAATGAACTCGAAAGATATGGTCTCGAATGGAATTTATTCGAATAGAATGGAATCGAATGGAATGCAATAGTTTGGAATGGACTCGAATGGAATGGAATAGAATCGAATGGGGTGAAATGGAAAGATATTGAACAGCATGGAATGGAATTGAATGGACTCAAATTGAATGGACTATAATGGAATGGACTCTAATGGAATGGACTGGAGTGGAATGGACTCAAGTGGAATGGACTCTAATGGAATGGAAACGAATGGAATGGAATGGAATGGAATCGGATGGAATGCAATGGAATGGAAATGAGTGGAATGGAATAGAATTGCGTGTAATGGCGTCGAATGGAATGGAATGGACTCAAATGGAATGGACTCGAATTGAATAGAATAAAATGGAATGGTATACAATGGAATGGAATGGACCCAAATGTAATGGACTCAAATGGAATGGACTCAAATGGAATGGACATGAAGGGAAAGGTCTCTAATGGAATACATTCAAATAGAATGGAATCGAAAATAATGCAATACTATGGAATAGAATCGAATGGAATGGACCGGAATGGAATGGACTGGAATACAACGGACTCAAATGTATTGGATTGCAATCTAATTGACTCAAATGGAATGGAATCGAATGGAAAGTATTCAAATGGAATTTAATGTAATACAATGGAATGGAATAGAATGGAATGCAATGGAATGGAATAGAATGGAATGCAATGGAATGGAACGGAGTGGAATTGAGTGGAATGGAAGCAAACGGAGTGGAATCGAATGGAATTGACTGAAATGGAATGGACTCGAATGGAAGGGATTGGAACAAAATGGAGTCAAAAGGATTGGAATCGAACGGAAATGAATGGAATGGAATGGAATGCAATGGACCCGAATGGAATGCAGTCAAATGGAATGGAATCGAGTAGAATGGAATTGAATGGAATTGAATGGAAAGAATGGAATGGAGTGTAATGGAAAGATACCAAATGGAATGGAATGGAATGGAATGGACTTGAATCAAATTGACTGGAATGGAATGGACTCGAGTGGAATGGACTGGAGTGGAATGGACTCAAATGGAATGGAAACGAAAGGAAAGGAATGAAATGGAAAGGAATGGAGTGGAATGGAATGGAATGGAATGGAATCGGATGGAATGGAATGGAATGGAAAGGAGTCAAATGGAATAGAATCCAATGGAATGGCATCGAATGCAATGGCATCGAATGGAATGGAATCAAGTGACATGGACTCGAATTTAATGGACTCGAATGGAATAGAATCGAATGGAATGGCATGGAATGGAATGGAATGGAATGGACTGAAATGTAGTGGAACGGAATGGAACCATGTGAAAAGAACTCGAATGGAATGGACACAAATATAATGGACTCAGAATGAATGGTCTCGAATTGTATTTATACGAATAGAATGGAATCGAATGGAATGTAATACTATGGAATGTAATACTATGGAATGGAATCGAATTGAATGGACCTGAATGGAATGGACTGGAATAGAATGGACTCGAACGTAATAGACTGCAATGTAATAGATTAGAATGGAATGGAACCGAATGGAATGTAAACAAATGGAATTGAATGGCATGCAGTGGAATGGAATAGAACAGAATGCAATGGAATGGAATGGAGTGGAATCGAGTGGAATGGAATCGAATGGAATGGAGTCGAATGGAATGGATTTGAATGGAATGGAGACGAATGGAGTGGAATCGAATGGAATGCAATCTAATAGAATAGAATTGAATGCAATCGAAAGGAATACAATGGAATGGAGTGTAATGGAAAGATAACGAAAGGAATAGAATGGAATGGAACGGACTCAAATGGAATGGACTCGAATGGAATGGACTGGAGAGGAATGGACTGAAATGAAATGGAAACGAATGGAATGGAATGGAATTGAAATGAATAGAATATAATGGAATCGGATGGAACTGAATGGAATTGAATGGAGTCGAATGGAATACACTATAATGGAATGGCTTTGAATGGAATGGAAAGGAATGGAATGGAATGGACTCGAATGGAATTGACTCGAATGGAATAGAACAGAATGGAATGGTAAAGAATGTAATGGAATGGAATGGAATTGACCCAAATGTAATGGACTCGAATGGAATGGAATCAAATAGAATGGGTTCAAAAGAAATGGTCTCGAATGGAATTTATTCAAATAGAATGGAATCGAATGGAATGCAACAGTATGGAATGGAATTGAATGGAATAACGCACAATGGAAAACACTGGAATAGAAAGCACTTGAATGTAATGGATTGCAATGTATATGATTCGAATGGAATGGAATCGAAAGGAATGTAATCAAATGGAATGTAATGGAATGCAATTGAATGGAATAGAAAGGAATGCAGTGGAATGGAACGGATTGGAATAGAGTGCAATGGAATCGAATGAAATGGAATCAAATGGAATGGACTGGAATGGAATGGACTCGAATGGAATGGACTGAAAAAAATGGAATCGAACGGATTGGAATCGAATGGAACGGAATGGAATGGAATTGAATGGAATGGACTCAAAAGGAATGGAGTCAAATGGAATAGATTCGAATGGAATGCAATCCAATGGAATTGAATTGAATGTAATTGAAAGGAGTAGAATGGAATGGACAGTAATGTGAAGATATAGAATGGAATGTAATGGACACGAATGGAATGGATTGGAATGCAATGGACGCGAATGGAATGGACTGGAGTGGAATTGACTCAAATGGAATGGAAACGAATGGATTGGAATGGAGTGGAATGGAATGGAAGGGACTCCAATGTAATGGATTGCAATATAATTGATTTGAATGGAATGGAATCGAATGGAATGTAATCAAATGGAATAGAATGGTATGCAATGGAATGAAATAGAATGGAATGCATTGGAATGGAATGGAGTGGCATGGAGTGGAATGGAATTTAATGGAACGGAATCGAATAGAATGGACTGGAATGGAAGGGACTCGAATGGATTGGACTGGAAAAAAATGGAATTAAATGGATTGGAATTGAACGGAAAGGAATGGAATGGAATGGAATGGACTCGAATGGAATGGAGACGAATGGAATGGAAACGAATGGAATGGAATAGAATAGAATGGAATTGAATGGAATCAAAAGGAATAGAACGGAATGGAGTGTAATGGAAAGAAATCGAATGGAATGTAATAGAATGTAATGGAGTTTAATGGAAAGTTATCGAATGGAATGGAATGAATCCGAATGGAATGGACTAGAATGGAATGGATTCGAAAAGAATTTACTGGAATGGAATGGAAACGAATGGAATGGAATGGAACGGAATTGAATGGAAAGGAATAGAATGGAATGGAATCAGATGGAATGGAATGGAATAGAATGGAATGGAATGGAGTCGAATGGATTAGAATCGAATGGAATGGCATTGAATGGAATGGAATGGAATGGAAAGGAATGGACTCAAATGGAAAGGACTCGAATTGAATAGAATAGAATGGAATGGCACCTAATGGAAAGGAATGAAATGGACCCAAATGTAATGGACTCGAATGGAATGGGCTCAAATAAATGGACTCGAAAGGAATATTCTCGAATGAATTTATTTGATTAGAATGGACTCGAATGGAATGCAATTGTATGGAATGGAATTGAAGGGAATGGAATCGAATGGAATGGACCAAACTGGAATGGACTGGAATAGAATGGACCCAAATGTAATGGATTTCAATGTAATTGATATGAATGGAATGGAATTTGTTGGATTGTAATCAAATAGAATGGAATGCAAGGCAAAGGAATGGAAACAAATGGAAGGCAATCGAATGGAACGGAGTGGAATCGAGTTGAATGGAATCGAATGAAATGGAATCCAATGGAATGGAATCGAATGTAATGCACTCGAATGGAATAGAATGGAAAAAAATGGAATCAAAAGGATTGGAATTGAACGGAATGGAATGGAATGCCATGGAATGGAATCGAATGGAATGGAGTCGAATGGAATAGAATTGAATGGAATGGCTTTGAATGGAATGGAGCGGAATGGAATGGACTCAAAAAGAATGGATTCGAATGGAATAGAATCGAATTTAATGGCATCGAATGGAATGGAAAGGAATCGACCCAAATGTAATGGACTCGAAACGAATGGAATCAAATAGAACGCACTTTAAAGGAATGGTCTCGAATGGAACTTATTTGAATAGAAAGGAATCGAATGGAATGCAATAGTATGGAATGGAATCGAATGGAATGGAATTGAATGGAATGGACCAGAATGGAATGGACTGGAATAGAAAGGACTCGAACGTAATGGATTGCAATGTAATTGATTTGAATGGAATGGAATCGAATGGAATGAAATCGAAAGGAATGGACTGGAATGGAAATGAATGGAATAGTATGGACAAAAATGGAATGGATTGCAATGTAATTGATTCGGATGGAATGGAATCAAATGGAATGTAATACTATGGAATGGAATGGAATACAATGGAATGCAAAGGAATGGAACGGAGTGGAAATGAGTGGAATGGAATCGAATGGAATGGAATCCAATGGAATTGACTGTAATGGAGTGGAATCGAATGGAATGGACAGGAATAAAATGGAATCGAATGGATTGGCATCGAATGGAACTAAATGGAATGGAATGGAAGAATGGAATGGACTCGAACAGAATGGAGTTGAATGAAATGGTATCGAATGGAAAGGAATCTAATGGACTGGAAATGAATGGAAACGAAAGGAATAGACTGCAATGGAGTGTAATGGAAAGATATCGAATGGAATAGAATGGAATGGATTCAAATGGAATGGTCTGGAATGCAATGGACTCGAATGGGAAGGACTGGTGTGGAACTGACTCAAATGGAATGGAAAAGAACTGAATGGAATGGAATGGAATGGAAAGGAATGGAATGGAAAGGAAGAGTATATAATGGAATCTGATGGAAACTAATGGAAGGGAATGGAGTCGAATGGAATGGAATCGAATGTAATGGCTTCAAAAGGAATGGAATGGAATGGACTCGAATGGAATGGAATGGAATCGAATGGCATCGTATGGAATGGAATGGAATTGAATGGAAGGGAACGGAATGGACCCAAATAGAATGGATTTGAAATTAATGGACTTTACTGGAATGGACTCGAAAGCAATGCTCTTGACTGGAATTCATTCAAATAGAATGGAATCTAATGTAATGCAGCAGTATTGAATGGCATCAAATGGAAGTGAATCGAATGGATTGGACCAGAATGGAATGGACTGGAATAGAAGGGACTCAAATGCAATGGATTTCAATGTGATTGATTCAAACGGAATGGAATCGAATGAAACATAATCAAATGGAATGGAATGGAATGCAATGGAATGGAATAGATTGGAATGCAATGAAATGGAACAGAGTGGAATCGAGTGGAATGGAATAGAATGGGACGGAATCAAATGGAATGGACTGGAATGGAATGGAATCGAAAGGAATGGACTGGAAAAAAATGGAATGGAATCGATTGGAATCTAATGCAATGGAAAGTAATGGAATGGAATTTAATGGACTTGAAAGGAATGCAGTCGAATGGAATGGAATCAAATGGAATGGAATAGAAAGGCATGGAATTGAATTGAATCACAAGGAATAGAATGGAATGGAGTGCAATGGAAAGACACTGAATGTAATGTAATGGAATGGATTCAAATAGAATGGAATGGAATGGAATGGACTCGAATGGAAAATACTGGAGTGGAATGGACTCGAATGGAAAGGAAACGAATGGAAGGGAAAGGAATGGAGTGGAAAGGAATACAAGGGAATGAAATCGGTTGGAACGGAATGGAATGGAACGGATTCAAAGGAAGTAGAATTGAATGGAATGGCAATGAAAGTAATGGATTCTCACGGAATGCACTCGAATTTAATAGAATTGAATGGAATGGCATCGAATGGAATGGAATGGAATGGAACGGAATGGACTGAAATGTAATGGACTTGAAAGGAAATGTCTCAAATAAAATGCACTGGAAAGGAATCGTCTCTAATGGAATTTATTCGAAAAGAATGGAATCAAATGGAATGCAATAGTATGGAATGGAATTGAATGGAAAGAAATCGAATGGAATGGACCTGAATGGAATTGACTGGAATAGAAAGGACTCGAATGTAATGGAATGCAATGTAATTGATTCGAGTGGAATGGAATGGAATCAAATGGAATGGAATAAAATGCAATGGAATGGAATAGAATGGAATGCAAAGGAATGGAACGGAGTGGAATCGAGTGGATTGGAATTGAATGGAATGGAATTGAATGGAATGGAATCAAATGGTATGGATTGGAATGGAATGGACTCGAATGGTTTGGAATGGAAAATAATGGAATCCAACGGATTGGAATCAAACGCAACAGAATAGAATGGAATGGAATGGAATGGAGTCAAATGGAATGGAATCGAATGAAATCGAATTGAAAGGAATAGAAAGGAATAGAATGGAATGGAGTGTAATGGAAAGATATCAAATGGAGTGAAATGGAACTGAATGGACTCGAATAGAATGGACCGGAATGGAATGGACAAGAATGGAATGGACTTGAGTGGAATGGACTCAAATGGAATTGAATCGTATGGAAAGGAATGGAATGGAAAGGAATAGAATGGATTGGAATCGGATGAAATGGAAGGGAATGGAATGGAGTTGAATGGAATAGAATCAAATGGAATGGCACTGAATGGAATGGAATGGAATGGAATGTAGTAGAATGGAATGCAATGGAATGGACTCGAATGGAGTGGACACAAGTGGAACAGAATCGAATGGAATGGCATCGCATGTAATGGAAAGGAGTAGAATGGAATGGAATGGAATGGAATGGAAACAAATGTAATAGACTCAAAAGGAATGGACTCAAATTGAATGGTGTCGAAAGGAATGGTCTCGAATGGAATTTATTCGAAAAGAGTGGAATCGAATGGAATGCAATAGTATGGAATGGAATCGAATGGAATGCAAAAGTATGGAATGGAATTAAATGGAATGGAATTGAATGGAATGGATTTGAATGGAATGGACTGGAATGGAATGGACTGGAATAGAATCTACCCGAATGTAACGAATTGCAATGTAATTGATACAAAAGGAATGAAATCGAATTGAATGTAATCAAATGGAATGGAATGGAATGCAATGGACTGGAATAGAATGGAATGCAATGGAATGGAACGGAGTTGAATCAAGTGAAATGGAATCGAATGGAATTGAGTGGAATGGAATGGACTCGAATGGAATGGAGTGGAACAAAATGGAAAAGAACGGATTGGAATCAAACGGAATGAATGGAATTTAATGGACTTGAATGGAATGGAGTCGAATGGAATGGAACCGAATGGAATGGAATTGAATGGAATGGAATTGAATGGATTGGAAAGGAATAGAATTCAATGGAGAGTATTGGAAAGATATCGAATGGAATGGAATTGAATGGAATCGAAAGGAATAGAATTCAATGGAGAGTATTGGAAAGATATCGAATGGAATGGAATGGAATGGAATGGACTCGAAAGGAAAGGACTGGAATGGATTGGAACCAAATGGAATGGAATGGAATGGACTCGAAAGGAAAGGACTGGAATGGATTGGACATGAATGGAATGGACGGGAATGGAATGGACTCGAAAGGAATGGAAACGAATTGAATGGAATGGAATGGAAAGGAATATAATTGAATGGAATTGAATGGAATGGAATCGAATGGAATGGATTCGAATGGAATAGAATCGAATGGAATGGCATCGAATGGAATGGAATCAAATAGAATGGTCTCGAATGGAATGGAATCCAATGGAATAGAATAGAATGGAATGGTTTCGAATGGAATGGAATGGAATGGATTGGATTGGAATGGATTGGAATGGAATGGATTGAATTGGAATGCACCCAAATGTATTGGGCTCAATGGAATAGACTCAATAGAATGGATTCAAAAAGAATGGTATCGAATTATATTTATTCGAATAGAATGGAATCAAACGGAATGCCACTGTAAGGAGTGGATTTGAATGGAATGGAATCGAATGGAATGCACTGAAATGGAGTGGATTGGAATAGAATGAACAAGAATGAAATGGATTTCAACGTAATTGATTTCAATGGAATGAAATTGAATGGAATATAATCAAATGGAATGGAATTGAATGCAATGGAATGGAATTAAATGGAATGCAATGGAATGGAATGGATAGGAATCTAGTGGATTGGAATTGAACAGAATGGAATCGAATTGAATGGACCGGAATGGAATGGACTGGAATAGAACAGACTCGAATGTAATGGATTGCAATATAATTGATTCGGATGGAATGGAATCAAATGGAATGTAATCAAATCAAATGGAACGGAATGCAGTGGAATGGAATAGAATGGAATGCAATGGAATGGAACAGAACAGAGTGGAATTGACAGGAATGGAATCAAATGGAATGGAATCGAACGGAATGGAATCGAATGGAAAGGACAGGAATGGAATGGACTCGAATGGATTGGATTGGAACAAAACGGAATTGAACGGACTGGAATCGAACAGAATGGAATGGAATGGACTCGAATGGAATGGAGTCGAATGGAATGGAACCGAATGGAATGGAATTGAATGGAATAGAAAGGAATAGAATGGAATGGAATGGAGTGTAATGGAAATATATCAAATGGAATGGACTGGAATGGAATGGACTCGAATGGAATGGACTGGAATAAAATGCAATAGAATGGATTGGAATCGAACGGAACACAATGGAATGGAATGGAAAGGAATGCAATGCAACGGACTCGAAAAGAATGTAATGTAATGGAATGGAATGGAATGGAAAGCAATGGACTCGAAAGGAATGGAGTCGAATGGAATGGAATCGAATGGAATGCAATCGAATAGAATGGAATTGGACCGAATCGAAAGAAATAGAATGGAATGGATTGCTATGGAAAGATATTGAATGGAATGGTTTGGAATTGAATGGACTCGAATGGAATGGACTCCAATGGAATGGACTGGAGTGGAATGGACTTGAATGGAATGGAAACGAATGCAATGGAATGGAATGGAAACAATAGAATGGAATGGAATCGGATGGAATGCAATGGAATGGAATGGAGTCGAGTGGAATAGAATCGAATGGAATGGCATCGAATGGAATGTAATTCAATGGAATGGACTCGAAAGGAATGGAAACGAATTGAATGGAATGAAATGGAAAGAATAGAATGGAATGGAATCAGATGGAATGGAATGGAATGGAGTCGAATGGAATAGAATCGAATGGAATGGCATCAAAAGGAATGGAATGGAATGGAACGTACCCAAATGTAATGGATTCGAAAGTAATGGACTCAAACAGAATGGACTCGAAAGGAATGGTCTCGAATGGAATTTATTCAAATAGAATGAATTTGAATGGAAAGAAATTGTATGCTATGGAATCGAACGGAAAGGAATCGAAAGGAATGGACTGGAAGGGAATGCACTGGAATAGAATGGACTCAAATATAATGGATAGCAATGTAATTGATTCGAATGGAATGGAATCGAATGGAATGGAATCAAATGGAATGGAATGGATTGCAATGGAATGGAATAGAATGGAATGCAATGGAATGGAATGTAGTGGAATCGAGTGGAATATAATCGAATGGAATGGAATCAAATGGAATGGAATCAAATGAAATGGACTGGAATGGAATGAACACGAATGGAATGGAATGGAACAAAATGGAATTCAATGCATGGGATACAAACTGAATGGAATGGAATGGAAAGGAATGGAATGGAATGGATTCGAATTGAATGGATTCGAATGGAATGGAATCCAATGGATTGGAATTGAATAGAATGGAATTGAATGGAATCGAAATAAATAAAATGGAATGGAGTGTAAAGGAAAGATATCGAATGTAATGGGATGGAAAGGAATGTACTCGAATGGAATGGACTGGAATGGAATGGACTCGAATGGCATGGACTGGAGAGGAATGGACTCAAATGGAATGGAAACGAAAGGAATGGAATAGAATGCAATAGTATGGAAAGGAATAGAATGGAATGGAATAGGATGGAAAGGAATAGAATGGAATGGAGTTGAATGGAATACAATCGATTGGAATGGCATCAAATGTAATGAAATGGAATGGAATAGACTTGAATGCAATGGAAACGAATTCAATGGAATGGAATGGAATGGAAAGAAATGGAAAGGAAAGGAAAGAATAGAATAGAATGGAATGGAATCGGATGGAATTGAATGGAATGGTATAGAATTGACTCGAATGGAATGGACTCGAATATAATAGAATCAAATGGAATGGAATGGAATGCAATGGACTGGAAAAGAATGGAATCGAATGTAATTGATTGCAATGTAATTGATTCTAATGGAATGGAATCGAATGGATTGTATCCAAATGGAATGGAATGGAATGCAATAGAATGGAACGGAGTGGAATAGAGTGGAATGGAATCGAATGGAATGGACTGGAATGTAATGGACTGGAATAGAATGGACTCGAATATAATGGATTGTAAACTAATAGATTCGGATGGATTGGAATCGAAGGAATGTAATCAAATGTACTGGAATGGAATGCAATGGAATGGAATAGAATGGAATGCAATGAAATTGAATAGAATGGAACGCAATGGAATGGAAAGGAGTGGAATCGAATGGAATGGAATTGAGTGGAATGGAATCGATTGTACTGGAATCGAATGGAATGGAAACGAATGGAATCGACTGGAATGTAATGGACTTAAAGGGAATGGACTGGAACAAAATGGAATCGAACGGATTGGAATCGAATGGAATGGAACGGAATCAATTGGCATGGAATGGACTCGAATGGAATGTAGTTGAATGGAATGGATCCGAATGGATGGAATTGAATTGAATCAAAAGGAATAGAATGGAATGGAGTGTAAAGGAAAGATACCGAATGGAATGGAATGGTACGGAATGGACTCGAATGGAACGGACTGGAATGGAATGGACTCCAATGGAATGGACTCGAGTGGAATGCACACGAATGGAATGGAAACGAATGGAATGGAATTGAAAGGAATGCAATGGAATGGAGAGGAATAGAATGAAATGGAATCTGAGGGAACAGAATGGAATAGAATGGAGTCGAATGGAATAGAATCAAATGGAACTGCATCGAATGGAATGGAATGTACTCGAATGGAATGGAAACAAATGGAAAGGAATGGAAAGGAATTGAATGGAATGGAATTGGATGGAAGGGAACTGAATGTAATGGAGTCAAATGGAATAGAATCGAAGGGAATGGCATCGAATGGAATGGAAAGGAATGGAATGGAATGGAATCGAATGGAATGAAGTCAAATGGAATAGAATAGAATGGAATGGCATTGAAAGAAATGGAATGGATTGGAGTGGAATGGACCCAAATGTAATGGACTCCCATGGAATGGACTCAAATAGAATGAACTGGAATTGAATGGTCTCTACAGGAATTTATTAGAATATAATGGAAACGAAAGGAATGCAATTGTATGAAAAGGACTCGAATGGAATGGAATCAAATGAAATGGAACGGAATGGAATGAACTGGAATAGATTGAACTCAAATGTAATGGATTTGAATGGAATGGAATTGAATGGAATGGAATATAATGCAATAGAATGGAATTGAATGGAACGGAACGGAATGGAATGGAGTGGAATAGAGTGGAATGGAATCGAATCGAATGGAATCGAACGGAATGGAATCGAATGAAATGGACTGGAATGGATTGGACTCGAATGGAATGGACTTGAAAAAATTGGAATCGAACGGATTGGAATAGAACGGAATGGAATGGACTCAAATGGAATGGAGTTGAATGGAATGGAACCGAATGGAAGGAAATCAAATGGAGTGGAATTGAATAGAATCGAAAGTAATTGATTGGAATGGAGTGTAATGAAACATATCGAATGGAATGGAATGAAATGGAATGGACTCAAACGCAATGGACTGAAATGGAATGGTCTTGAATGCAATGGATTAGTGGGTAATGGACACGAATGTAATGGAAATGAATGGAATGGATTGGAATGGAATGGAATGCAATGGAATGGAATGGAATAGAATGGAATGGAATAGGATGGAATGTAATGCAATGGAATGGTGTTCAATGGAATAGAATCAAATGGATTGCCATCGAATTGAATGGATTGGAATAGAATAGAATGAAACGAATGGACTCGAATGGAATGGACTCGAATGTAATAGAATCAAATGGAATGGACTCGAATGGAATGGACTGCAATGGAATGGACTCAAATGGAATAGAGAAGAGAGGAATGGACTCGAATGGAATGAAAACGAATGGAATGGAAAGGAATAAAATTGAAAGGAATAGAATGGAATGGAAGCAGATGGACTGGAATGGAATGGACTGCAGTCGAATGGAATAGTATCGAATGGAATGACATCAAATAGAATGGAATGAAATTTAATGTAATGGAATCGAATGGAATAGAATCCAATGTAATGGCTTCGAATGGAATGGACCCAAATGTAATGGACTCTAATGAAATGGAGTCAAATGGGATGGACTCAAAAGGAATGGACTGAAATGAAATTCATTCGGATAGAATTGAATTGAATGGAATGCAATAGTATGGAATGCAATCGAATGGAATGGACCGGAACCGAATGGACTGGAATAGAATGGACTCGAATGTAATGGATTGCAATGTAATAGATTCGAATGGATTGGAATCAAATGGAATGTAATCAATTGTAATGGAATGGAATGCAATCAAATGGAATAGAATGGAATGCAATGGAATGGAACGGAGTGGAATTGAGTGGAATGGAATTGATTGGAATGGAATCGAACAGAATGGAATCGAATGGAATCGACTGGAATGTAATGGACTCGAATGGAAGGGACTGGAACAAAATGGAATCGAACGGAATGGAATCGAGTGGAACACAATGGAATCGAATGGAATGGAATGGACTCAAATGGAATGCAGTCGAATGGAAAGGATCTGAATGGATGAAATTTAATGAAATCAAAAGGATAGAATGCAATGGATTGTAATGGAATTATATCGAATAGAATGGAGTAAAAGGGAATGGACTCGAATGGAACGGAGTGGAATGAAATGGACGCGAATGGAATGGACTGGAGCGGAATGGACATGAATGGAATGGAAAAGAATGGAATGGAATAGAAAGGAATGCAATGGAATGGAGCGGAATAGAATAAAATGGAATCGGAGGGAATAGAATGGAATGGAATGGAGACGAATGGAATAGAATTGAATAGAATTGCATTGACTGGAATGGAATGGAATGGAATGGACCCGAATGGAAAGGAAACGAATGTAATGTAATGGAATGGAATGGAAAGGAATTGAATGGAATGTAATTGGATGGAAGGGAACTGAATGGATGGAGTCAAATGGAATAGCATCGAATGGAATGGCATCGAATGGATTGGAATGTAATGGAATGAAATGGAATCAAATGGAATGGAATCGAATGGAACAGAATAGAAAGGAATGGCATCAAATGGAATGGAATGGATTGGAATGGAATGGACCCAAATGTAATGGACTCTCTGGCATGGACTCAAATAGAATGGACTCGAATGGAATGCTCTCCAATGGAATTTATTCGAATGGAATGGAATCGAAAGGAATACAAGAGTATGGAATGTAATTGAATGGAATGGAATCAAATAGAATGGAGGGGAATGGAATGGACTGGAATAGATCGGACTCAAATGTAATGCATTGCAATGTAATTGATGTGAATGGAATGGATTCGAATGGAATGTAATCAAATGGAATGGAATAGAATGCAATGGAATGGAATAGAATGGAATGCAACGGAATGGAACGGAGTGGAATCGAGTTTAATGGAATCGAATGCAATGGAATTGAATGGAATGGACTGGAACAAAATGGAATCGAACGGATTGGAATTGAACGGAATGGAATGGACTCGAATGGAATGGATACGAATGGAATGGAACCTAATGGAATGGAATTGAATAGAATCGAAAGGAATAGAATGGAATGGAGTGAAATGAAACATATGGAATGGAATGGAATGGAAAGGAATGGAATTTAAAGGACTCGAATGGAAAGGACTGGAATGGAATGGACTCGAATGGAATGGACTAGTGGGGAATGGACACGAATGGAATGGAAAAGAATGGAATGGAATAGAATGGAATGGAATGGAAAGGAATAGAATGGAATGGAACAGGAATAAACGTAAAGTAATGGAATGGTGTTCAATGGAATAGAATCAAATGGAATGCCATCGAATTGAATGGATTGGAATAGAATGGAATGGAAAGGAATGGATTTGAATGGAATGGACTCAAATGGAATAGAATCAAATGGAAAGGACTCGAATGGAATGGAGAGGAATGGAATGGACTCGAATGGAATGGAATGGAGTAGAATGGACACGAATTGACTGGAAACGAATGGAATGGAACGGAATGGAATGGAAAGGAATAGAATGGAATGGAAGCAGATGGAATGGAATGGGATGGAATGCACTCGAAAGGAATGGAATCGAATGGAATGACATCCAAAAGAATGGAATGGAATTTAATGTAATGGACACGAACGGAATAGAATCTAATGGAATGGCATCGATTGGAATGGAATGGACCCAAATGTAATGGACTCTAATGGAATGGACTCAAATAGAATTGACTCAAAGGAATGGTGTCGAATGGAAATTATTCGAATAGAATGGAATTGAGCGGAATGCAATAGTATGGAATGGAATAGAATGGAATGGACCAGAATGGTATAGACTGGAATAGAACAGACTGGAATGTAATGGATTGCAATGTAATAGATTCGAATAGATTGGAATCAAATGGAATGTAATCAAATGTAATATAATGGAATGCAATTGAATAGAATAGAATGGAATGCAGTGGAATGGAATAGAGTAGAATGCAAAGGAATGGAATGGAGTGGAATCGAATGGAATTGAATTGAGTGGAATGGAATTGATTGGAATGGAATCGAATGGAATGGAAACGAATGTAATCGACTGGAATGTAATGGATTCGAATGGAATGGACTGGAACAAAATGGAATCGAACGGAATGGAATCGAATGGAACGGAACAGAATCGAATTGAATGGAACTGACGCGAATGGAATGCAGTTGAATGGAATGGATCCGAATGGATGGAATTGAATGGAATCAAAGGGAATACAATGCAATAGAGTGTAATGGAAAGATATCTAATGGAATGGAATGGACTTGAATGGAATGGACTGGAATGGAATGCACTCGAATGGAATGGAGTGGAGTGGAATGGACTCGAATGGAATGGAAACTAATAGAATGGAATGGAAAGGAATGTAATGGAATGGAGATGAACAGAATGAAAAGGAATTGGAGGGAACAGAACGCAATGGAATGGAGTCGAAAGGAATAGAATCGAATGGAATTGCATCGAATGGAATGGAATGGAATGGACTCGAATGGAATGGAAACGAATGGAAAGGAATGGAAAGGAATTGAATGGAATGTAGTCAGAAGGAAAGGAACTGAAAGGAATGGAGTCAAATGGAATAGAATCGAAAGGAATGGCATCGAATGGAGTGGAATGGACTCAAATGGAATACAATAGAATGGAATGGCATTGAATGGAATGGAATGGATTTGAATGGAATTGAACCAAATATAATGGACTCGTATGGAATGGACTCAAATAGAATGGACTGGAATGGAATGGTCTCGAGTGGAAGTTATTCAAATAGAACGAAACCAAAATGAATTCAATAGTACGACATGGAATCGAAAGTAATGGAATGGAATGGAATGGACCGGAATGGAAGGGACTGGAATAGATCGGACTCAAATTTAATGGATTGCAATGTAATAGATTTGAAAGGAATGGAATCTAATGGAATATAATCAAATGGAATGGAATGGAATGAAATGGAAAATAATAAAATGAAATGCAATGGAATGGAAAGGAGTAGAATCAACAGGAATGGAACAGAATCGAATGGAGTGGAATGGAATGGACTCGAATGGAATGGACTGGAATGGAATGGACACAAATGTAATCGACTGGAACAAAATTGATTCGAACGGACTGGAATTGAATGGAACGGAATGGAATGGAATGGAAGAGAATGGACTCGAATGAAATGGAGTAGAAAGGAATGGAACTAAATGGAGTGGAATAAAATGGAATCGAAAGGAATAGAATGGAATGGATTGTCATGGAAAGATAGCAAATCGTATGGAATGGAATGGACTCGAATGGAATGGAGTGGAATGGAGTGGACTTGAATGAAATCGACTGAAGTGGAATGGACACGAATGAAATGAAAACGAAGGTAAATGGAATGGAAAGGAACAGAATTGAATAGAATTTGATGGAACGGAATTGAATAGAAGGGAGTCGAATGGAATAGAATCGAATGGAATGGCATCGAAGGGAATGGAATGGAAAGAATGGAAGGGAATAGAATGGAATGGAGTCGATTTGAATAGAATAGGATGGAATAGCATCGAATGGAATTGAATGGAATGAAATGGAATGCAATGGAATGGACCCAAATGTAATGGACTTGAATGGAATGGACTTAAATAGAATTGACTTGAAAGGAATGGTCTCGAAAGGAATTTATTGGGATAGAATGGAATTGAATGGAATACAATTGTATGCAATGGAATCGAATGGGATGGAATCGAATGGAATAGACAAGAATGGAATCGACAGGAATAGAATGAACTCGAATGTAATGGATTGAAAAGTAATTGATTCAAAAGGAATGGAATTGAATGTAATGTAATCAAATGTAATGGAATGGAAAGCAATGGAATGGAATAGAATGGAATGCAATGGAATGAAATGGAGGGGAAAAGAGTGGAATGGAATGGAATTGAATGGAATGGAATAGAATGGAATGGACTCGAATGGAATGGACGGGAAAAAATGGAATCGAACAGATTCAATTCAAACAGAACGGCATCGAATGGAATGGAATCGAATTGAATGGAATAGAATGGAATGGAGTGGAATGGAATGGACTCGAATGGAATGGACTGGAAAAAAATGGAATCAAACAGATTTAATTCGAACAGAACAGAATGGAATGGAATGCAGTGGAAAGGAATGGAATAGACTTGATAGGAATGGAGTCGAATGGAATGGAATTGAAAGATATGGTATTGATTAGAATCGAAAGGAATAGAATGGAATGGAGTGTAATGGAAAGATATCGAATAGAATGGAATGGAAGGGAATGGATTCGAATGGAATGGACTGGAATGGAATCGACTGGAATGGAATGGAATCAAATGGAACGGAATTGAATAGAATCGGTCGGAATAGAATGTAATGGAGTGTAATGGAAAGATATTGATTGGAATGGAATGGAATGGAATGGAAAGAAAGGAATAGAAGGCAAAGGAATCGGATGGAATGGAATGGAGTCGAATGGAATAGATTCGAATGGAATGGCATCAAAAGGAATCGAATGGAATGGACTTGAAAGGAAAGTATTCGAATGGAATACAATGGAATAGAATGGCTACGAATGGAATGGAATGGACGCAAATATAATGGACTCGAATGTAATCGACTCAAATAGAATGGACTCGAAAGGAATGGTCTCGAATGGAATTTAGTCGAATAGAATGGAATCGAACGGAATGAAATATTATGGAATGAATTGAATGGAATGGAACGGATTGGAATGGACTGAAATAGAACGGACTCAAATATAATGGATTGTAATGTAATTGATTGGAATGGAATGGAAATGAATGCAACGTAATCAAATGGAATGGAATGGAATACGATGGAATAGAAAAGAATGGAATGTAGTGGAAAGGAATGGAGTGGAATCCAGTGGAATGGAATAGAATGGAATGGAATAGAATGGAATGGATTGGAATGGAATGGAATCAACGTGAGTGGAATGGAATGGAATGGAATGGGATGGAATGGAATGGAATGGAATCAACCCGAGTGGAATGGAATGGAATGGATTGGAATGGAACGGAATGCAATGGAAGGGAATCAACCCGAGTGGAATGGAATGGAACGCACTGGAATGGAATGGAATGGAATTCAATGGGATAGAATCAAACCGAGTGGAATGGAATGGAATGCAATGAAATCGAATGGAATCAACCCGAATGCAATGGCATGGAATGGAATGGAATTGATTGGAATGGAATCAAACTGAGTGGAAGGGAATGGAAGGGAATGGAAGGGAGTGGGATGGAATGGAATGAAGTGGAATGGAATGGAATGAAATGGAAAGGAATGGAATGGAATGGAGTGGAACGGAATCAACCCGAGTGGAATGGAATATAATGGAATGGAATGGAATGGAATATCAACACAATTGGAATGGAATGGAATGGAACGGAATGGAATGGAATGGAATCAACTCGAGTGGAATGGAATGGAAGGGAATGGAATGGATTGGAATGGAACGGAATGGAATGGAATGGAATCAACCCGAGTGGAATGGAATGGAATGGAATTCAATGGAATGGAATCAAACCGAGTGGAATGGAATAGAATGGAATGGAATGAAATGGAATGGAATGGAATGGAATGGAATGGAATCAACCCGAGTGAAATGGAATGGAATGGAATGGAATGGAATGAAATAAACCTGAATGGAATGGAATGGGATGAAATCAACCAGAGTGGAATGGAATGGAATGGGATGGAATGGAATGGAATGGAACGGTATGCAACGGAATGGAATCAAGCCGAGAGTAATGGAATGTAATGGAATGGAGTGTAATGGAATGATATCAACCCGAGTGGTGTGGAATGGAATGGAATGGAATAGAATGGAATGGAATGCAATCAACCAGAGTGGAATGTAACGGAATGGAATGGAATGGAGTGGAATGCAATTGAATGGAATCAACCCGAGTGGAGTGGACTGGAATGGAATGGAATGGAATAGAACGGAATTGAATGAAATGGCATGGAATGGAAACAACCCGAGTGGAATGGAATGGAATGAAATGGAATGGAATGGAATGCAATGCCAATCAAAGGAATGGAACGGAATGGAATGGAATGGAATCAATCCCAATGGAATAGAATGGAATGGAATGGAATGGTATGGAATGCAATGAATTCAACCCGAATGGAGTGGAGTGGACTGGAGTAGACTGGGATGGAGTGGAATGGCATGGAATGGAATGGAATGGAAAGGAATTGAATAAACCCGAATTGAATGGAATGGTATTAACCCAAGTGGAATGGAATGGAATGGAATGGAATGGAATGGAAAGGAATGGAATGGAATGAACCGAATGGAATGGAAAGGAATGGAATGGAAAGGAATGGAATCAACCCGAGTGGAATGGAATGGAATGGAGTAAACCCGAGTTGAATGTAACGGAATGCAATGGAATGGAATGCAATCAACCCGAGTGAAATGGAATGGAATGGAAGGGAATGGAATGGAATGGAATGGAATGGAATCAACCCGAGTGGAATGGAATGGAATGGAATGGAATGGCATGGAATGGAAAGGAATCAACTGCAGTGGAGAGGAGTGGAGTGGAAAGGAATGGAATGGAATGGAATGGAATTGAATAAACCCAAGTGGAATGGAATGGAATGGAATAAACTCAATTGCAATGGAATGCAATGGAATGGAATGGAATGGAATGGAATCAACCCGAGGGGAATGGAATGGAATGGAATGGGATGGAACCAACCTGAGTGGAAAGGAATGGAATGGAATGGAAAGGAATGGAACCAACTTGAGTGGAATGGATTGGAATGGAATGGAATGGAATGGAATTGAATCAACTGGAATGGAATGGAATGGAATCAACCCGAGTGGAATGGAATGGAATAGAATGGAATGGAGGGGAATGCAATGGAATGCAATGGAATGGAGTGGAATGGAATGGAATTGAATGCAATCAACCAGAGTGGAATGGAATGGAATGGAATGGAATAAAAACGAGTGAACGGAATGGAATGGAATGGAATGGAATCATCTCAAACGGAATGGAATGGAATGGAATGGAATGGAATGGAATGGAATGGAATCATCTCAAACGGAATGGAATGGAATGGAATGGAATTCAACGAAATGGAATCAAACCGAATGGAATGGAATGGAATGGAATCAACTAGAACGGAATGGAATATAATGGAATGGAATTCAACGGAATGGAATCAAACCGAGTGGAATGGAATGGAATTTAATGGAATGAAATGGTATGGAATGGAATCAACACAAGTGGAATGGAATGGAAAGAAATGGTATGGTAATGGAATCAACAAAAGTGGAATGGAATGGAATGTAATGTAATGGAATGCAATGCGATGGAATAAACCCTAGTGGAATGGAATGGACGGTATGGAGCGGAATGGAATGGAATTGAATGGAATGGAATCAACTCGAATGGAATGAAATGGAATGGAATGGAATGGAATCAACACGAGTGGAATGGAGTGGAATAGAATGGAATGTTATGGAATGGAATGGAATCAACCCGAGTGGAATGGAATGGAATGGAATCAAACCGAGTGGAATGGAATGGAATGGAGTGGAATGGAATGGAATTCAATGGAATAGAAAGGAATGGAATGAAATCAATCCAAGTGGAATGGAATGGAATGGAATGGAACGGAACGGTATGGAATAGAATGGAATTAACCCGAGTGGAGTGGAGTGGAGTGGAGTGGAATGGAATGAAATGGAATGGAATGGAAAGGAATGGCATTGAATCAACTGGAATGGAATGGCATGGAATGGAATGGAATAGAATGGAATTGAATCATCTGGAATGGAATGGAAGGCAATGGAATGGAATGGAATGGAATGGTATCATTCCGGGTGAAATGGAATGGAATGGAATGGAATGGAATGGAATGAACTGGAATGGAATGGAATGGAATAGAATGGAATTGAATCAACCAGAGTGGAATGGAATGGAATAAACCCGATTGGAGTGGAGTGGATTGGAGTGGAGTGTAATGGAATAGAATGGAATGGAATGGAATGGAATCAACCGAGTGGAATGGAATGGTATGGAATGGAATGGAATCAACCCGATTGGAGTGGAGTGGATTGGAGTGGAGTGTAATGGAATAGAATGGAATGGAATGGAATGGAATCAACCAAGTGGAATGGAATGGTATGGAATGGAATGAAATGGAAGGAAATGAACTGGAATAGAATGGAATGGAATGGAATAAAACCGAGTGGAGTGGAATGGAATGAAATGGAATGGAATGCAAAGGAATGCAGTAGAATGGAATGGAATGGAATCAACGCGAGTGGAATGGAATGGCAAGGAATACAATGGAAAGGAATGGAATGGAGTTGAGTGGAATCAACCAGAGTGGAATGGAATGGAATGGAATGGAATGGAATGGAATGGAATAGAATGGAATGGAATGGAATAGAATGGAATGGAATAGAATGGAATGGAATGGAATAGAATGGAATTGAATCAACTGGAATGGAATGGAATGGAGTGGAATGGAATGGAATGGAATCAAACCGAGAGAAATGGAATGGAATGGAATGGAATTGAATGGAATGCAATGGAATGGAATTGAATGGAATGGAATTGAACGAAGATGAGAGGAATGGAATGGAATGGATTGGAATGCCATAGAGTGGAATTGAATAAACAAGAGTGGAATGGAATAGAATGGAACAGAATGGAATTGAATCAACTGGAATGGAATGGAATGGAATGGAATGGAAAGGAATGGAAATTAATGGAATGTAATCAACCCAATTGGAATGGAATGGAATGGATTGGAATGGAATTTAATGGAATGGAATCGAATGGAATAGAATGGAATTAAATCAACAGGAATGGAGTAGAGTGGAAAGGAATGGAATGACATGGAATTGAGTAAACCCGAGTGGAATGGAATGGAATGGAATAGAATAGAATGGTACTGTATTAACCCGAGAGGAATGGAGTGGAATGGAATGGAATGGAATTGAATGGAATGGAATCGAATAGAAACAACCTGAGTGGAATGGAATGGAATGGAATAGAATAGAATGGTACTATATTAACCCGAGAGGAATGGAGTGGAATGGAATGGAATGGAATTGAATGGAATGGAATCGAATAGAAACAACCTGAGTGGAATGGAATGGAATGGAATGGAATGGAATCAACCTGAGTGTAATGGAATGGAATGGAATGGAATGGAATGGAATGGAATGGAATCAACCTGAGTGTAATGGAATGGAATGGAATGGAATGGAATGGAATGGAATGGAATGGAATGGAATCAACACGAGAGGAATGGAATGGAATGGTATGGAAGGGAATGGAATGGAAAGGAATGGAATGGAATGTAATCAAGCCGAGTGGAGTGGAGTGGACTGGAGAAAATTGGATTGGAATGGAATGGAATGGAATGGTATGGAATAAACCCAAGTGGAATGGAATGGAATGGAATTCAATAGAATGGAATCAAAGAGAGTGGAATGGAATGGAATGGAATGGAATGAACACGAGTGAAATGGAATGGAATGGAATTCAATGGAATGGAATCAAACCGAGAGAAACGGAATGGAATAGAAAGGAAGGGAATGGAATCAAATGGAGGGGAACGGAATGGAATGCAATGGATTGGAATGGAATGGAATGCAGTAGAATGGGATGGAACCAACCCCAATGGAATGGAATGAAGCAGAAAGGAATGGAAACAACACGAGTGGAATGGAATGGAATGGAATGGAATGGAATGGAATGGAATGGAATAACCCGAGTGGAATGGAATGGAATGGAATAAACTCAATTGCAATGGAATGCAATGGAATGGAATGGAATGGAATGGAATCAACCCGAGGGGAATGGAATGGAATGGAATGGGATGGAACCAACCTGAGTGGAAAGGAATGGAATGGAATGGAAAGGAATGGAACCAACTTGAGTGGAATGGATTGGAATGGAATGGAATGGAATGGAATTGAATCAACTGGAATGGAATGGAATGGAATCAACCCGAGTGGAATGGAATGGAATAGAATGGAATGGAAGGGAATGCAATGGAATGCAATGGAATGGAGTGGAATGGAATGGAATTGAATGCAATCAACCAGAGTGGAATGGAATGGAATGGAATGGAATAAAAACGAGTGGAACGGAATGGAATGGAATGGAATGGAATCATCTCAAACGGAATGGAATGGAATGGAATGGAATGGAATGGAATGGAATGGAATCATCTCAAACGGAATGGAATGGAATGGAATGGAATTCAACGAAATGGAATCAAACCGAATGGAATGGAATGGAATGGAATCAACTAGAACGGAATGGAATATAATGGAATGGAATTCAACGGAATGGAATCAAACCGAGTGGAATGGAATGGAATTTAATGGAATGAAATGGTATGGAATGGAATCAACACAAGTGGAATGGAATGGAAAGAAATGGTATGGTAATGGAATCAACAAAAGTGGAATGGAATGGAATGTAATGTAATGGAATGCAATGCGATGGAATAAACCCTAGTGGAATGGAATGGACGGTATGGAGCGGAATGGAATGGAATTGAATGGAATGGAATCAACTCGAATGGAATGAAATGGAATGGAATGGAATGGAATCAACACGAGTGGAATGGAGTGGAATAGAATGGAATGTTATGGAATGGAATGGAATCAACCCGAGTGGAATGGAATGGAATGGAATCAAACCGAGTGGAATGGAATGGAATGGAGTGGAATGGAATGGAATTCAATGGAATAGAAAGGAATGGAATGAAATCAATCCAAGTGGAATGGAATGGAATGGAATGGAACGGAACGGTATGGAATAGAATGGAATTAACCCGAGTGGAGTGGAGTGGAGTGGAGTGGAATGGAATGAAATGGAATGGAATGGAAAGGAATGGCATTGAATCAACTGGAATGGAATGGCATGGAATGGAATGGAATAGAATGGAATTGAATCATCTGGAATGGAATGGAAGGCAATGGAATGGAATGGAATGGAATGGTATCATTCCGGGTGAAATGGAATGGAATGGAATGGAATGGAATGGAATGGAATGAACTGGAATGGAATGGAATGGAATAGAATGGAATTGAATCAACCAGAGTGGAATGGAATGGAATAAACCCGATTGGAGTGGAGTGGATTGGAGTGGAGTGTAATGGAATAGAATGGAATGGAATGGAATGGAATCAACCGAGTGGAATGGAATGGTATGGAATGGAATGGAATCAACCCGATTGGAGTGGAGTGGATTGGAGTGGAGTGTAATGGAAAAGAATGGAATGGAATGGAATGGAATCAACCAAGTGGAATGGAATGGTATGGAATGGAATGAAATGGAAGGAAATGAACTGGAATAGAATGGAATGGAATGGAATAAAACCGAGTGGAGTGGAATGGAATGAAATGGAATGGAATGCAAAGGAATGCAGTAGAATGGAATGGAATGGAATCAACGCGAGTGGAATGGAATGGCAAGGAATACAATGGAAAGGAATGGAATGGAGTTGAGTGGAATCAACCAGAGTGGAATGGAATGGAATGGAATGGAATGGAATGGAATGGAATGGAATGGAATAGAATGGAATGGAATAGAATGGAATGGAATGGAATAGAATGGAATGGAATAAACCCGAGTGGAACGGATTGTAGTGGAATGGAATGGAGTGGTATCAAGCCGAGTGAAATGGAATGGATTGGAATGGAAAGGAATAGAATGGAATGGAATCAACGGAAGTGGAATGGAATGGAATGGAATTGAATGGAATCAACCCCATTGTAGAGGAGTGGAGTGGAGTGGAATGGAAAGGAATGGAATGGAATGGAATTCAATAGCATGGAATCAAACCGAGTGGAATGGAATGGAATGGAATGGAATGGAAGGGAATGGAATTCAATGGAATGAAATCAAACTGCGGAACGGAATGGAATGGAGAGGAATGGAATAATCTCGAGTGCAATGGAATGCAATGGAATGGAATGGAATGGAATCAACCCGAGTGGAATGGAATGG
Organism: Homo sapiens; assembly: GCF_000001405.40. NCBI lineage: Eukaryota > Metazoa > Chordata > Mammalia > Primates > Hominidae > Homo > Homo sapiens. Next base: position 21,975,853 of record NC_000017.11, read on the forward strand.
AATGGAATGGGATGGAATCAACCCGAGTGGAATGGAATGGAATGGAATGGAATGGAATGGAATCAAAACGAGTGGAATGGAGTGGAATCGAATGGAATGGAATGAAATGGAATGGAATGGAATGGAAAGGAATCAACCCAAGTGGAATGGAGTGGAATGGAAAGGAATGGAACGGAATCAAATGGAATCAACTGGAATGGAATGGAATGGAATCAACCCGAGTGGAATGGAATAGAATGGAATGGAATGGAATGGAATGGAATGGAATGGAATGGAAGGGAATGGAATGGAATGCAATGTAATGGAATGGAATGGAAGGGAATGGAATGGAATGCAATGGAATGGAGGGGAATGGAAATGAATGGAATGGCATGGAATGGAATGGAATCAACACAAGTGGAATGGAATGGAATGGAAAGGAATGCAATCAAATTGAGTGAAATGGAATGGAATGGAAAAGAATGAAATCAATACAAGTGGAATGGATTGGAATGGAAAGGAATGGCATCAGATGGAATCAATCCGAGTGGAATGGAATGGAATGGAATGGAATGGAACGGAACGGAATGGAATTGAATGGAATGCAAAGGAATGGAATGGAATGCAATGGAATGGATTCAACTCGAGTGGAATGGAATGGAATGGAATGGAATGGATTG
>NC_000017.11:21976531-21983452 GCF_000001405.40 Homo sapiens
TGGAATGGAATGGAATCGACCAGAGTGGAGAGGAATGGAATGGAATGGAATGAAATGGAATGGAATAGAGTGGAATGGAATGGAATGGAGTGGAATGGAATGGAATGCAATGAAATGGAATGGAATGGAATGCAATGGAATGGAGTGGAATGGAATGGAATGGAATAGAATGGAATGGAATCAACCCGAGTGGAATGGAATGGAATGGAATGGAATGGAATCCATTGGAATGGAATGGAATGGAATAGCATGGAATGCAATGTAACGGAAAGGAATGGAATCAACCCGAGTGGAGTGGAATGGAATGGAATGGATTGGAATGGAGTGGAATGGAATGGAATGGAATGAAATGGAATGGAATGGAGTGGAATGGAATGGAATGGAATGGATTGAAATGGAATGGAATGGAATGCAATGGAATGGAGTGGAATGGAATGGAATGGAATGGAATGGAATCAACCCGAGTGGAACGGAATGGAATGGAATGGAATCCATTGGAATGGAATGGAATAGCATGGAATGCAATGGAAAGGAATGCAATGGAATCAACCCGAGTGGAGTGGAATGGAATGGAATGGAATGAAATGGAATGGAATGGAATGCAATGGAATGGACTGGAATGGAATGGAATGGAATGGAATCAACCCGAGTGGAATGGTTTGGAATGGAACGGAATGGAATAAAACGAGCAGAATGGAATGGAATGGAATGGAATGGAATGGAATGGAATCAACTGGAAAGGAATGGAATGGAATTCAACAGAATGAAATTAAACCGAGTGGAATGTAATGTAATGTAATGTAATGTAATGTAATGTAATGTAATGTAATGTAATGTAATCAACTCGAAAGGAATGGAATGGAATTCAACGGAATGTAATCAAACCGAGTGGAATGGAATGGAATGGAATGAAATGGTACGGAATGGAATCAAGACAAGTGGAATGGAATGGAATGAAATGGTATGGAATGGAATCAACACAAGTGGAATGAAATAGAATGGAATGGAATCGAATGTAATGGAATGCAATGGGATGGAATAAACCCCAGTGGAATGGAATGGAACAGTATGTAGCAGAATGGAATGGAATTGAATGGAATGGAATCAACTCGAATGGAATGAAATGGAATGGAATGGAATGGAATGGAATGGAATCAACACGAGTGGAATGCAGTGGAATAGAATGGAATGGAATGGAATCAACCCGAGTGGAATGGAATGGAATGGAATCAACCCGAGTGGAGTGGAGTGGAGTGGAGTGGAATGGAATGCAATGGAATGGAATGGAAAGGAATGGCATTGAATCAACTGGAATGGAATGGCATGCAATGGAATGGAATGGAATAGAATGGAATTGAATCATCTGGAATGGAATTGAAGGCAATGGAATGGAATGGGATGAAATGGTATCAATCCGAGTGAAATGGAATGGAATGGAATGGAATGGAATGGAATGAACTGGAATGGAATGGAATGGAATGGAAAAGAGAGGAATTGAATCAACTAGAGTGGAATGGAATGGAATGGAATGGAATGGAATGGAATCAACCCGATTAGAGTGGAGTGGATTGGAGTGGAGTGTAATGGAATGGAATGGAATGGAACGGAATGGAATGGAATCAACCCGAGTGGAATGGAGTGGAATGGAATGGAATGAAATGGAAGGAAATGAACTGGAATAGAATGGAATGGAATGGAATCAAACCGAGTGTAGTGGAATGGAATGTAATGGAATGCAAAGAAATGCAGTGGAATGGAATGGAATGGAATCAACGCGAGTGGAATGGAATGGCAAGGAATGCAATAGAAAGGAATGGAATGGAATTGAATGGAATCAACCAGAGTGGAATGGAATACAATGGAATGGAGTAGAATGGAATGGAATGGAATAGAATGGAATTGAATCAACTGGAATGGAATGGAATGGAATGGAATCAAACCAAGAGAAAAGGAATGGAATGGAATTGAATGGAATGCGATGGAATGGAATTGAATGGAATGGAATTGAATGAAGATGAGAGGAATAGAATGGAATGGAATGGCACAGAGTGGAATTGAATAAACAAGAGTGGAATGGAATGGAATGGAATAGAATGGAGTAGAATGGAATTGAATGAACTGGAATGGAATGGAATGGAGTGGAAAGGAATGGAAATTAATGGAATGAAATCAACCCAATTGTAATGGAATGGAATGGATTGGAATGGAATTTAATGGAATGGAATCGAATGGAATCGAATGGAATTAAATCAACAGGAATGGAGTGGAGTGAAATAGAATGGAATGGAATGCAATTGAATAAACCCGAGTGGAATGGAATGGAATGGAAAAGAATAGAATGGTACTGTAACAACCCAAGAGGAATGGAGTGGAATAGAATGGAATGGAATTGAATGGAATGGAACGGAATAGAAACAACCTGAGTGGAATGAAATGGAATGGAATGGAATGGAATCAACCTGAGTGGAATGGAATGGAATGGAATGGAATCAAATGGAATGGAATGGAATCAACCTGAGAGGAATGGAATGGAATCATATGGAAAGGAATGGAATGGAAAGGAATGGAATGGAATGTAATCAACCCGAGTGGAGTGGAGTGCAGTGGAGTGGAGAAAAGTGGATTGGAAAGGAATGGAACGGAATGGTATGGAATAAACCCAAGTGGAATGGATTGGAATGGAATGGAATTCAATGGAATGGAATCAAACCGAGTGGAATGGAATGGAATAGAATGGAAGGGAATGGAATCAAACGGAGGGGAATGGAATGGATTGAAATGGATTGGAATGGAAGGTAATGGAATGGAATGGATGGGAATGGGATGGAACCAACCCTAATGGAATGGAATGGAATGGAATGGAAGGGAAAGGAATGGAATCAACACGAGTAGAATGAAATGGAATGGAATGGAATGGAATGGAATCAACCCGAGTGGAATGGAAAGGAATGGAATGCAATGGACTATAATGTAATCAACTGGAATGGAATGGAATGGAATGCAATGGAATGGAATGGATTGGAATGGAATCAACCTGAGTGGAGTGGAATGGAATGGAATGGAATGGAATGGAATTAACGCGAGTGGAATGGAATGGAATGGAATGCAGTGGAATGGAATGGAACGGAAGAAACCTGAGTGAAATGGAATGGAATGGATTGGAATGGAAGGGAATGGAATGGAATGGAATAAACCCGAATGGAATGGAATGGAATGGAATGGAATGCAATAGAATCAACCCGAGTGGAGTGGAATGGAATGGAAAGGAATGGAATGGAATGGAATGGAATAGAATCAACCCGAGTGGAATGGAATGGCATGGAATGGAATGGAACGGAATGGAATGGAATGGAACGGTATCAACACATTTGGAACGGAATGGAATGGAATGGAATAGAATGGAATCAACCCCAGTGGAGTGGAATGGAATGGAATGGCACGGAATTGAATGCTATGGAATGCAAGGGAATCAGCCCGATTTTAATGGAATGGAATGGAATGAAATGGAATGGAACGGAATCCACCCGAGTGGAATGGAATGGAATTGATTGGAATGGGAAGGAACCAACCCTAGTGGAATGGATTGGAATGGAATGGAACGGAATGGAATGGAATTAACTCGAGTGGAATGGAATTTAAGGGAATGGAATGGAATAGAATGCAAAGGAATGGAAAGGATTTGAATGGAATCAACAGGAATAGAGTGGAATGGAATGGAATGCAATGTAACGGAATGGATTGGAATGGCATGGAATGGTATGGAATGCAATGGAATGGAGTGGAATGGAATGGAATGGAATGGAATGGAATGGAAGGGAATGGAGTCAACCCGAGTGATATGGAATGGAATGGAATGGAGTGGAATGGAATGGAATGGAATGGAATCAACGCGAATGGAATGGAATGGAATGGAATTCAATAGAATGGAATTTAATGGAATGGAATTGAACGGAATGGAATCAACCGGAGTGGAATGGAATGGAATGGAATGGAATCAACCGAGTGAAATGAAATGGAATGGAATGGAATCAACGCGAGTGGAATGGAATGGAATGGAATGGAATGGAATGGAATGGAATCAACCCGAGTGGAAAGGAAAGGAATGGAACGGAACGGAAAGGAACGGAATGGAATGGAATGGAATCAACCCAAGAGGAATGGAATTGAATGGAATGGAATGCACCCAACCCGAGTGGAGTGGAACTGAATGGAATGGAATGGAAAGGAATGGAATGGAATGGAAAATAATGCAATGGAATGGAATCAACCCGAGTGGAATGGAATGGAAAGGAATCGAATGGGATCTACCCGAGTGGATTGGAACGGAATGGAATGCAGAGGAATGGAATGGAATCAACACGAGCGGAATTGAAAGGAATGGAATGGAATTAAATGGAAGGGAATGGAATGGAATTGAATGAAATTGAATGGATTGGAATGGAATGGAATGGATTCAACACGAGTGTAATGGAATGGAATGGAATGGAATGCAATGAAACCGAGTGGAATGTAATATAATGTAATGTAATGTAATGTAATGTAATGTAATGTAATGGAATGGAATGGAATGGAATGGAATGGAATGGAATGGAATGGAATGGAATTGAATCAATCCGAGAGAATGGATTGAAACGGAATGGACTGGAATGGAATGGAATGGAATGGAATGGAAAACTCGAGTGGAATGGAATGGAATGGAGTGGCATGTAAAGTAATGGAATGGAACAGAATGGAATCACCCGGAGTGGAATGGAATGGAATGGATTGGAATGGAATGGAATAGAATGGAATTGAATCAATCCGAGTGGAATGAAATGAAATGGAATGGAATTGAATGGAGTGGAACGCAATGGAAAGGAATCAACTGGAATGGAATGTAATGGAATGGAATAGAATGGAATGGAATGGAATAGAATGGAATTGAAACAACTGGAATGCAATGGAATGGAATGGAATGGAATGGAATGGATTCAAACCGAGAGAAATGGAATGTAATGGAATGGAATTGAATGGAATGGAATGGAATTGAATGGAATGGAACTGAATCAACTGGAATGGAATGGAATGGAATTGAATGAACCCGAGTGGAATGTAATCTAATGTAATGTAATGTAATGTAATGTAATGTAATGTAATGTAATGTAATGGAATGGAATTGAATGGAACAGAATGGAATTGAATCAACGTGAGTGGAATGGAATGGATTGCAATGGAATGGAATGGACTGGAATGGAATGGAATGGAATAGAAAGCATTGAATCAACTGGAATGGAATGGAATGGAATGGAATTTAGTGGAATAGAGTGGAATTGATTCACCTGGAATGGAATGTAAAGGAATGGAATGGAATGGAATTTAATCAACTGGAAAGGAATGAAATGGAATAGAATGGAATTGAATCACCTGGAATGGATTGGAATGGCATGGAAAGGAATGGAATGGAATGGAATGGAATGGAATAGAATCGAATTTAATTGATTCAACCCGAGTGGAATGTAATGTAATGTAATGTAATGTAATGTAATGTAATGTAATGTAATGTAATAGGATGGAATTGAATCATCCCGAGTGGAATGGAATGGAATGGAATGGAAAGGAATCTACATGAGAGGAATGGAAAGGAATTGAATGGAGTGGAGTGGAGTGGAATGGAATGTAAAGGAAAGGAATTGAATGGAGTGGAATGCAATGGAATGGAATGGAATGGAATCAACCCGAGTGCAAACCAATGGAATGGAGTGGAATGGAATGGAAAGGAACAGAATGGGATGAAATGGAATGGAATCTACCCGAGTGCAGTGGAATGTAATGGAATGGTGTGGAATGGAATGGAATGGAATCAACCAGAATGGAATGGAATGGAATGGTATGTAATAGAATGGAATGGAATGGAATTAAATCAAACCGTGTGGAATGGAATGGAATGGAATGGAATAGTATGGAATTGAGTCAATCCGTGGGGAATGCAATGGAATGGAATGGAATGGAATGGAATGGAATTTAATCAACCCGAGTGGAATGGAATGGAAAGGATTGGAGTGGAGTGGAATGGACTAGAATGGAATGGAATGGAATTCAATGAAATGGAATGGAATAACCCCGAGTGGAATGTAACGTAATGCAATGGAATGAAATGGAATGAAATGGAATAGCAAGGAATTGAATCAACTCGTGTGGAAAGGAATGAAATGGAATGGAATGGAATAGAATGGAATTGAACCAACCTGAAATGAATGGAATGGAATGGAATGGAATGGAATGGAATGGAATGGAATGGGTGGGAATGGGATGGAACCAACCCAAATGGAATGGAATGGAATGGAATGGAAGGGAAAGGAATGGAATCAACACGAGTAGAATGAAATGGAATGGAATGGAATGGAATCAACCCGAGTCGAATGGAAAGGAATGGAATGCAATGGACTATAATGTGATCAACTGGAATGGAATGGAATGGAATGCAATGGAATGGAATGGATTGGAATGGAACCAACCTGATTGGAGTGGAATGGAATGGAATGGAATGGAACGGAATGGAATGGAATGGAATGGAATGCAGTGGAATGGAATGGAACGGAAACAACCCGTGTGAAATGGAATGGAATGGAATGGAATGGAACGGAATGGAATGGAATGGAATGGAATAAACCCGAATGGAATGGAATGGAATGTAATGGAATGCAATAGAATCAACCCGAGTGGAGTGGAATGGAATGGAAAGGAATGGAATGGAATGGAATGGAATGGAATCAACCCGAGTGGAATGGAATGGCATGGAATGGAATGGAACGGAATGGAATGGAATGGAACGGTATCAACCCAAGTGGAATGGAATGGAATGGAATGGAATAGAATGGAATCAACCCTAGTGGAGTGGAATGGAATGGAATGGAATGGAAGGGAATGGAATCAACCCGACTG
>NC_000017.11:21983554-21984549 GCF_000001405.40 Homo sapiens
ATGTAATGGAATGGAATCAACGCGAGTGGAATGGAATGGAATGGAATTCAATTGAATGGAATTTAATGGAATGAAATTGAACGGAATGGAATCAACCGGAGTGGAATCGAATGGAATGGAATCAACCGAGTGAAATGAAATGGAATGGAATGGAATCAACCTGAGTGGAATGGAATGGAAAGAAATGGAATGGAATGGAATGGAATGGAATGGAATGGAATCAACCCGAGTGGAATGGAATGGAATGGAACGGAACAGAAAGGAACGGAATGGTATGGAATGGAATCAACCCAAGAGGAATGGAATTGAATGGAATGGAATGCACCCAATCCGAGTGGAGTGAAATGGAATGGAATGGAATGGAAAGGAATGGAATGGAATGGAAAATAATGCAATGGAATGGAATCAACCCGAATGGAATGGAATGGAAAGGAATGGAACGGGATCAACCCGAGTGGATTGGAATGGAATGGAATGCAGAGGAATGGAATGGAATCAACATGAGCAGAATTGAAAGGAATGGAATGGAATTAAATGGAATGGAATGGAGTGCAATAGGAATGGAATTGAATCATCCCGAGTGGAATGGAATGGATTGGAATGGAATGGAATCTACACGAGAGGAATGGAATGGAATGGAATGAAATGGAATGGAATCAACCGGAGTGCAGTAGAATGAAATGGAATGGAATCAACCGGAATGCAGTGGAATGGAATGGAATGGAATGAAATGGAATGGAATCAACCGGAGTGCAGTAGAATGAAATGGAATGGAATCAACCGGAATGCAGTGGAATGGAATGTAATGGTGTGGAATGGAATGGAATGCAATGGAATCAACCAGAATGGAATGGAATGGAATGGTATAGAATAAAATGGAATGGAATGGAATTAAATCAACCTGTGTGGAATGCAATGGAATGGAATAGAATGGAATTGAGTCAATCCGAGGGGAATGCAATGGAATGGAATGGAATGGAATGGAATGGAATGGA
>NC_000017.11:21985100-21992061 GCF_000001405.40 Homo sapiens
GAATTGAATTGACTCAACTGGAAGGGAATGGAAAGGAATAGAATGGAACTCAATCAACTGGAATGGAATGGACTGGACTGGACTGGACTGGACTGGAATGGAATGGAATGGAATAGATTGGAACCGAATCAACCCTAATGGAATGGATTGGAATGGCATGGAATGGAATGGAATGGAATGGAATGGATTTGAATCAACCCGAGTGGAACGGAATGGAATGGAAGGGAATGGAATGGAATGCAATAGAATGGAATTGAATCAACACGAGTGGAATGGAATGGAATGGAATGGAATGGAATCAACACGAGTGGAATGGAATGGATTGGAGTGGCGTGGAATGGAATGGAATGGAATGGAATGGAGTGGAAGGGAATGGAATGGAATGGAATGGAATGGAATGGAATGGAGTCGAATGGAATGGAATGGAATGGAAAAGAGTGAAACGGAATGGAATGGAATTAACCCGAGTGGAAAGGGATGGAATGGAGTGGAATGGAATGGAAGGGAATTCAATGGAAAGGAATGGAACCAACCTGAGTGGAGTGGAATGGAATGGAATGGAATGGAACAGAATGGAAGGGAATCAACCAGAATGGAATGGAATTAAATCAACCCGTGTGGAATGGAATGGAATGGAATAGGATGGAATTGAATCAACCTGAGTGTAATATAATGCAATGCAATGGAATGGAATTGAATCAATCCGAGAGGAATGGAATGGAATGGATTGGCATGGAATGGATTGGAATGGAATGGAATGGAATAGAATGGAATGGAATGGAATGGAAGGGAATGGAATTTAATAGAATGGAATTGAATGAACTGGAATGGAACGGAATGGATTGGAATGGAATTGAATCAACAGGAAAGGAATGGAAAGGAATAGAATGGAATTGCATCAACTGGAATGGAACGGAATGGACTGGATTGGAATGGAATAGAATGGAATAGAATGGAACTGAATCCACCCGAATGGAATGGATTGGAAAGGCATGGAATGGAATGGAATGGATTTGAATCAACCCGAATGCAACAGAATGGAATGAAATGGAATGGAACGGAATGGAATGGAAGGGAATGGAATGGAATGCAATAGAATGGAATTGAATCAACGCTAGTGGAAAGGAATGGAATGGAATGGAATGGAATGGGATCAACATGAGAGGAATGGAATGGAATGGAATGGATTGGAGTGGAGTTGAATGGAATGGAATGGCACGGAATTGAATGGAGAGGAATGGAATGGAATGCAATAGAATGGAATGGAATGAAATGGAATTTAACCAACCCGAGAGGAATGGAATGGAATGGAGTGGAGTGGAGTGGAATGGACTGGAATGGAATGGAATGAAATGGCATGGAATGCAATGGAATGGATTGGAATCAACCTGAGTGGAATGGAATGGAATGGAATGGAATAGCGTGGAGTTGAATCAACTGGAATGGAATGGAATGGAATTAAATCAACCCTAGTGGAATGGAAGGGAATGGAATCGAATCATGTGGAATGGAATGGATTAGAATGGAATTTTAATCAACCCGAGTGAAATGGAATGGAATCGAAAGGAATGGAATGGAATGGGATGGAATGGATTGGAATGGAATGGAATAGAATGGAATTGCATCAACCCGAGTGGAATGGAATAGAAGGGAATGGAAGGGAAGGTCAGGGAATGGAAAGGAATGGATTGGAATGGAATGGAATTGAATCAACTGGAATGGAATGGAATGGAATGGAATGGAATTGAATCAACCTGAGTGGAATGAATGGAATGAAATGCAATGGAATGGAATCAACCCGAGTGGGGTGGAATGGAATGGAATGGAATCATTGGGAATGGAATGGAATAGAATGGAATGGAATGAAATGGAACGCAATGGAATGAAATGGAAAGGAATCAACGCGACTGGAATGGAATGGAATGGAATGGAAATACTGGAATGGAATGGAATGGAATCAACCCGGTGGAGTGGGATGGAATGGAATGGAATGGAATTGAATGAAATTGAATGGAATGGAATGTAATGGATTCAACACGAGTGCAATGGAATGGAATGGAATGAAACCGAGTGGAATGTAATGTAATTTAATGTAATGTAATGGAATGGAATTGAATGGAATTGAATGGAACAGAATGGAATTGAATCAACGCGAGTGGAATGGAATGGATTGCAATGGAATGGAATGGAATTGAATGGAATAGAATGGAATGGAATAGAAGGAATTGAATCAACTGGAATCGAATGGAATGGAATTGAATGTAATAGAATGGAATTGATTCAACTGGAATGGAATGGAATGGAATGGAAAGGAATGGAATGGAATGGAATCAACTGGAAAGCAATGAAATGGAATAGAATGGAATTGAATCACCTGGAATGGCTTGGAATGGAATGGAAAGGAAAGGAATGGAATGGAATGGAATAGAATGTAATAGAATCAACCCGATTGGAATGGAATGGAATGGAATATAATGGAATGGAATGGAATAGAATGGAATTGAATCAACATGAATGGAGTGGAGTGGAATGGAATGGAATGGAATGGAATTGTATGGAATGGAATAGAATGGAATTAAATCAACTGGAATGCAATGGAATGGAATGGAATGGAATCAAACCGACAGAAATGGAATGTAATGGAATGGAATTGAAAGGAATGGAATGGAATTGAATGGAATGGAATTGAACGAACACGAGTGGAATGGAATGGAATGGAATGGAATGGAAGAGAGTGGAATTGAATAAACAAGAGAGTGGAATGGAAAGGAATGGAATGGAATGGAATAGAATAGAATTGAATCAACTGGAATGGAATGGAATGGAATGTAATGGAATGGAATTGAATCAACCCGAGAGGAATGTAATGTAATGTAATATAATGTAATGTAATGTAATGTAATGTAATGTAATGTAATGGAATGGAATTGAATGGAATTGAATGGAACAGAATGGAATTGAATCAACGCGAGTGGAATGGAATGGATTGCAATGGAATGGAATGGAATTGAATGGAATAGAATGGAATGGAATAGAAGGAATTGAATCAACTGGAATCGAATGGAATGGAATTGAATGGATTAGAAGGGAATGGAATAGAAGGAATTGAATCAACTGGAATCGAATGAAATGGAATGGAATGGAATTGAATGTAATAGAATGGAATTGATTCAACTGGAATGGAATGGAATGGAAAGGAATGGAATGGAATGGAATCAACTGGAAAGCAATGAAATGGAATAGAATGGAATTGAATCACCTGGAATGGATTGGAATGGAATGGAAAGGAAAGGAATGGAATGGAATGGAATAGAATGTAATAGAATCAACCCGATTGGAATGGAATGGAATGGAATGGAATGGAACGGAAGGGAATGGAATGGAATGCAATAGGATGTAATTAAATCATCCCGAGTGGAATGGAATTGAATGGATTGCAATGGAAAGGAATCTACACGAGAGGAATGGAATGGAATGGAATGGAGTGGAGAGGAGTGGAATGGAACGGAATGGAATTGAACGCAGTGGAATGGAATAGAATGGAATCAACGCGAGTGCAAAGGAATGGAATGGAGTGGAATGGAATGGAATAAAATGGAATGCAATGAAATGGAATGGAATCAACCCGAGTGCAGTGGAATGGAATGGAATGGTGTGGAATGGAATGGAATGGAATGGAATGAAACAGAATGGAATGGAATGGAATGGTATGTAATAGAATGGAATGGAATGGAATTAAATCAACCCGTGTGGAATGGCATGGAATGGAATAGAATGGAATTGAGTCAATCCGAGGGGAATGCAATGGAATGGAATGGAATGGAATGGAATTTAATCAACCCGAGTGGAATGGAATGGAATGGATTGGAGTCGAGTGGAATGGACTGGAATGGAATGGAATCGAATGGAATGGAATGGCATGGAATAAACCCGAGTGGAATGTAATGTAATGCAATGGGATGAAATGGAATGAAATGGAATAGCAAGGAATTGAATCAACCCGTGAGGAAAGGAATGAAATGGAATGGAATGGAATAGAATGGAATGGAATCAACCCGAGAGGAATGGAATGGAATGGAATGGAATGGAATGGAATGGAACGGAATTGAATTTAATCAATCCAAGTACAATGGAAGAGAATGGAGTGGAATGGAAAGGGTTGGAATCGAATGGAATGGAATGAAATGGCATCAACCCGAGGGGAATGGAATGGAATGTAATGGAATGCAATGCAATGGAATGGAAAGGAATGGAATGGAAAAGAATGGAATTGAATGAACTGGAATGGAATGGAATGGAATGGAATCAACCCGAGTGGAATGGACTGGAATGCAATGGAATGGAATGAACTGCAATGGAATGGAAAAGAATGGAATTGAATCAATTGGAATGGAATGGAATGGAATGGAATATAATAGAATTGAATCAACTGGAATGGAATGGGATGGAATTGATTTGTATTGAATGGAATTGAATCAACTGGAACGGATTGGAAAGGAGTAGAATGGAATTCAATCAACTGGAATGGAATGGAATGGACTGGACTGGAATGGAATGGAATGGAATAGATTGGAACTGAATCAACTCTAATGGAATGGATTGGAATGGCATGGAATGGAATGGATTTGAATCAACCCAAGTGGAACGGAATGGAATGGAATGGAATGGAAGGGAATGGAATGGAATGCAATAGAATGGAATTGAATCAACATGAGTGGAATGGAGTGGAATGGAATGGAATCAACACGAGTGGAATGAAATGGATTGGAGTGGTGTGGAATGGAAAGGAATGGAATGGAATGGAATGGAGTGGAATGGAATGGAATGGAATGGAGTGGAATGGAATGGAATGGAATGGAATGGAGTATAATGGAATGGAATGGAATGGAATGGAGTGTAACGGAATGGAATGGAATTAACCCCAGTGGAAAGGGATGGGATGGAGTGGAATGGAATGGAATGGAATGGAATGAAATGGAACCAACCAGAGTGGCGTGGAATGGAATGGAATGGAATGGAACAGAATGGAAGGGAATCAACCAGAATGGAATGGAATGGAATGGAATGGAACGGAATGGAAGGGAATCAACCAGAATGGAATGGAATGGAATTAAATCAACCCGTGTGGAATGGAATGGAATGGAATGGAATAGGATGGAATTGAGTCAACCTTAGTGTAATATAATGCAATGCAATGGAATGGAATGGAATGGAATGGAATTGAATCAATCCGAGAGGAATAGAATGGAATGCATTGGAATGGAATGGATTGGAAGGGAATGAAATGGAATAGAATGGAATTGAATGAACTGGAATGGAATGGAATGGATTGGAATGGAATTGAATCAACAGGAAAGGAATGGAAAGGAATAGAATGGAATTGCATCAACTGGAATGGAATGGAATGGAATGGATTGGAATGGAATGGAATGGAATGGAATAGAATGGAACTGAATCAACCCGAATGGAATGGATTGGAAAGGCATGGAATAGAATGGAATGGAATGGATATGAATCAACCCGAATGGAATGGAAAGGAATGAAATGGAATAGAACGGAATGGAATGGAATGGAATGGAATCAACATGAGAGGAATGGAATGGAATGGAATGGATTGGAGTGGAGTTGAATGGAATGGAATGGAACGGAATTGAATGGAGAGGAATGGAATGGAATGGAATAGAATGGAATGGAATGGAGTGGAATGGAAAGGAATAGAATCAACCCGATTGGAAAGAAATGGAATGGAATGGAACGGAATGGAATGGAATGGAATTTAATCAACCCGAGTGGAATGGAATGGAATGGAGTGGAGTGGAGTGGAATGGACTGGAATGGAATGGAATGGCATGGAATGCAATGGAATGGAATGGAATCAACCCGAATGGAATGGAATGGAATGGAATGGAATAGCATGGAGTTCAATCAACTGGAATGGAATGGAATGGAATTGAATCAACCCTGGTGGAATGGAATGGAATTGAATAGAATCAAGTGGAATGGAATGGAATAGAATGGAATTTTAATAAACCCGAGTGAAATGGAATGGAATGGATTGGAAAGGAATGCAAAGCAATGGAAGGGAATTGAATGGAATAGAATGGAATTGAATCATCCCAAGCGAAATGGAATAGAATGGAATGGAGTGGAATGAAACGGAATGGCATGGAACGGAACGGAACTGAACGGAAAGAAATGGAATGGAATAGAATGGAATGAAATGGAACGGAATTTAATAGAACTAACCCGTTAGGAATGGAATGGAATGGAATGGAATGGAATGGAATGGAATGGAATGGAATGGAATAGATTGGAATGGAATAGAATGAAATGGAATGGAATGGAATGGAATGGAATGGAATGGAATCAACTGGAAAGGAATGGAATGGAATGGAATAGAATGGAATGGATTTGAATGGAATAGAATCAACAGGAATGGAATGGAGTGGAATGGAATGGAATGGAATGGAATGGTATAGAACGTAATTGAAAGAATCCGAGTGGAATGGAATGGAATGGAATAGAATGGAAGAGAATGGAATTGAATCCACCCGATTGGAATGGAATGGAATGGAATGCAATGAAATGGAATGGAATGGAATGGAATGGAATCGAATACAATGGAACTGAATCAACCCGAGTGGAATGGAATGGAATGGAATGGTATGGAAAGGAATGGAATAGAATGGAATTGAATCAAATGGAATGGAATTGAATGGAATGTTATAGAATGGAATTGAATGACCTGGAATGGAATGTAATGGAAAGGAATGGAATGGAATGGAATGGAATGGAATGGCATGGAATCAACCCAAGTGGAATGCAATGGAATGGTATGGAATGGAATGGAATGGAGTAGAATGGAATTGAATCAACTGGAATGGAATTGTATGGAATGGAATGGAGTGGAATCAAATGGAATTAAATCAACCTGAGTGGAGCGGAATGGAATGCAATGAAA